>NC_000014.9:70217773-70369288 GCF_000001405.40 Homo sapiens
AATCTATACACAGAAAGGTTAAGTAATTTGTTTATTGTTATAGAACCAATAAGTAGCAGAGCTTAGATTTGAATCCATCTGGCTCCACAGCCCTGTCTTTAGCCATTATGGTAGGCTACCTCTTTAAAGGAAGTGTAGTGTCCTTGAGCGAAGCTGCAGGAGATGGCAAACTGGGCAAATTGAAGATGAATCTCCCGACTAAAGAGATAGCTACAGGCTAGCAACTGCTGCTGTGGAGGAATGTGGACCCAGTGTTGCCATATCATTTGCGTTTTCAAGAGAAAAAGTCTGGATTTATATATGAAAATTCCCAGTTTTAAAATGTGCTGCTGAACAATAACACACACAAACAGGCACTCAAGTGTATGTATGCACACACTGAAACTCACACTACCAAGGACTAGTAGTTTTTGAAAACTATATTAAAGAGGATGGACATTTTTATGTTCAATCACCCTAAAAAGAGGAAATAATTGAGTAGATAAACCTTATATGGGAGGGAGAAAAAATTCCATTTATTTTCTTGTTGTTTTAAGCAAGTTACTTAATATCTCTGAGCCTCTGTTCCTTCATCTATAAATTGGGGTCAGGAGTTTGGAGTGGATAATTGTATTAGCTACATCATAGAATTTATGTGGGAGTTAAATCAGTAGCCAACTATTTACAATGCCAACCTGGGACACAGCCATACCAGAACAAAATAAATTAATACATATATGTTTTATATAATAATGTATTATTATACATATATATTATATATAATTAGAATTAGCACAATTATGTTGTATTACTTTAACAAAAATATGAAAATCAATGTTATTTGAAATTATGCATCATTGTGTATTACTTTTCTATTATATAATGCTATTATTTAAACAAAACAACAATAGGACTAGTTGATAGAATTAGTAGTAATAGGACTAATTAAATAAATCATATGTAAGAAAAATAAAACAATATTTTTACAATATTGCTTTCTGCCTTCTGATACAAGCAATTTATTTTAACTCCTTTGAAAACGTTGTATTGGATTTCTAAATTTAGTAGACTATAATATTGTGTATTCTTTTTAAAATAGTTTTATTGATAATTCACATACTACACAGTTTACTCACTTAAAGTCTACAGTTCAATTATTTTTAGCATATTCGGAGACGTACAGCCTTCGTCATAGTCAGTCTTAGAACATTTTCACCACCTTAGGAAGAAATTCCATATTCTTTAGCTGTCATCCCTCTCCCCTCCCATAACAGCTCTAAGCAGCCGCTAATCTACTTTGTGTCTCTGTGAATTTGTCAGTTCTAGATATTTCATATAAGTGGAATCATACAATATTTGTCCTTTTGTGTGTGGCTTATTTCACTTAGCATGCTTTAAAAGTTCACTCATGTAGTAGCATGTATCGCTACTTCACTCCATTTTATGGAATGAACGTTATTTCACTATATGGATACACCATATTTTGTTCATCCATTTGTTAACATTTGGGTTATTTCCACTTTAAGAAATTATGAATAATGCTGATATAAACATTCATGTATGAGTTTCTATGTGGGCATGTGTTTTCATTTCTTTTGAATATATGCCTAGGAGCAGAATTGCTGGGTCTTATAGTAACTCTATGTTTAATCTATTGTTGTACTGCGAGACTTTTCCAAAGAAGCTGGACCATTTTATGTTCCCACAAGCAGCATATGAGTGTTCCAGTTTCTCCACATATTGCCAATGCCTGTTGTTATCTTTTTTATTCTTGGCATCTTATGGGTAGTAGTATGGGTGAAGTAGTATCTCACTGTGGCTTTGCTTTGCATTTCCATGATGATGAATGATGACCAGCAACTAATAATGTCAAGCATCTTTATTTATTTTTTTTAAGAGACAGGATCTCCTCTGTCACCCAAGCTGGAGTGCAGTGATGTGATCATAGCTCACTGCAGCATTGAACTCCTGGGCTCAAATGAGCCGCCCGTCTCAGCCTCCTGAGTAGGTGGGACTAAGGTGCACCCCACCATGCTAGGCTATATATAATATATATAAATATATATTATATATAGCCCAGCATATACATATATAGTAGAGATGGTCTCGCTATGTTACCCAGGCTGGTCTCAAACTTCTGGCAACAGACAATCCTCCTGTGTCAGGTGACAAATAATCCTCCTGTCCTAAATGGCTGGGATTACAGGTGTGAGCCACTGTGCCTGGCCTTGGGTATCTCTTTATGTGCTTTTTGGCCATTTATATGTCTTCTTTGGAGAGCTCCTTTGCCTATTTTTAAACTGAGTGAGTTGTCTTTTTATTACTGAATTTAAAACTTCTTTATATATTCTAGACACAAGTCCCTTATCAGATATGTAATGTTCAAATATTTTCTGCCATTCTGTGGATTGCCTTTTTCACCTTCTTCGTGATGTACTTTGAAGCACAAAAGTTCTTAATTTTGATAAAGTCTAATTTTTTTTGTTTCTAATTTATTTTTTCTCATGGTTATGGTGTCCATATCTAAGAATTATTTGCCAAATCTGGCCAGGTGAGGTAGCTCATGCGTGTAATCCCAGCACTTTGGGAGGCCGAGGCGGGCAGATCACTTGAGATCAGGAGTTCAAGACCAGTGTGCCAACATGGTGAAACCCTGTCTCTACAAATACAAAATTAGCTGGGCATGGTGGTGCATATCTGTAATCCCAGCTACTTGAGAGGCTGAGACAGGAGAATTGCTTGAACCCAGGAGGTGGAGGTTGCAGTGAGCCGACATGGTGCCACTGCACTACAGCTTGGGTGACAGAGCGAGACTCTGTCTCAAAAAAGAAAAAAGAAAAGAAAAAAAAAGGCATGAGGTAGTGGTCTGTATTGGGCTGTTTTTTGCATTGCTATAAAGAAATACCTGAGACTGGGTAATTTATAAGAAAAGAGATTTAATTGGCTTACAGTTCTGCAGGCTGTACAGGAAGAATAGTGGCATCTGCATCTAGGAAGGCCTCAGGGAGCTTCTAATGATGGTGTAAGGCAAAGGGGGAACAGGCACATTACATGGTGAGAACAGGGCAAGAGAGAGAGAGTGAGGGCAAGGTACCACACACCTTTAAATGACCATATCTCAGGAGAGCTCAGAGTGGGAGCTCACTTATCACCAAGGGGACAGGCTAAGCCATTTATGAGGGCTACGTCCCCATGATTCAAATACCTCCCACCAGGCCCCACCTCCAACACTGGGGATTACAATTCAACATGATATTTGGGCAGGGACATATATTCAAATCATATGAGGGTCCAGCTCCATTTTTTGCATGCAGCTATCCAGCTGTCCCAGCACCATTTGTTGAAAAGACAATTCTTTTCCCATTGAATGGTCTTGGCACACTTGTCAACTATAAGTTGACCATAGATGTATCTTCTAAGATATATAAATGTAAGGTTTTTTAAAGTGCTCATGTAAATCAATAGGACTAATTGACACATATTGCCTACATTGAATAAAAAATAATAATGACATTTCTTTCTGCCCTATATTTTTACTTTCTGCTTCCTTTACCATAATCCTTGTCTGAACTGCTTGTAGCATTTAGAGCATGCTTCTTTTCTTTTGTGTAATATCAGTACTGAGCAGTGAAACATAAAATTCACTTTGACTTGCAGCTCCGCTCTTAGCAAGCCCACACTGTGCTGAATCTGGATATCAGTCCAATGTGATGACATAAAGCTAAATATTTTCTCACAAAAGCATGTGAACATGGAACGCTTAGGATTTTACTTCCTGCCAACAGCAGAAATTTTGGACTTGTAGGAATTAGTTTCCAGCTCTCCAAAAATGCCTATCCACTTTGTTTCTACAGGCTTGTTTTGACAGATTAGTTCTTTGTCAATCAAGCCCTTTGCATCTATAAATTCATCATATAGGCTATTCATGGTTTAAATGCTCAAAAAAAAAAAAGTCTAAAACACATTGGATGCCATCCTAAGCTGAACTTTTCTTTCTCACGGAAAATGGTTTTGAGGCATATAGGTAATTTGCACTTGTGAAATTGAAACTGGAGTCCAAGTAAGTTACAAGGTGGTAAAAAAAAAAAAAAAAAAAAAAAACATTGAGAAGTCCTGTTTAACTTGGCTTTTTCCAGCGCTTTTTTTTTAAGTTCTAAAGCTGCACACTTAACCTGCATTACTCGAGGATGCAATAACGCATGATTAATTATTGCAAACACAAATTACAATTGCCAGCATCAGCGGGCAAGGGGAAATCAGAGACAGTGGCTATGAAAAAGAGATAATTTATGTTGTATCATTTGATAATAAAAGCAATGTTGTTTTTAGCCTTTGTTCTTTGAACCACTGTATGAATTTTGTACTTCTCCCCCAACCTTCCACATCCATCACTGAAAACTGGGGCTTTTCTTCCTAGTGAGGGGTTTCATGGGACCAACACTTGCGATACTAAAACTGGGACAATCTTGGGCAAACCAGGATCGTTGGTCATTTCAGTCAATTAAATAAGGCAATGCATGTAAAGTACTTAGGATGATGCCTAGGATGCAGAAGTGTTCACAAGGGTGTCAGGGAAGTCGAATCTGAATTTAGGGGCACAGAGATACTCAGAGTTTTCCCAATGATGCAGATGAATTCACTGTACCATATGAAGGTAGGTAAAGAACTTGGAAGAGTGGTACCCAATAAGGGACTCTGAGATGGACTCAAGCTTGTAGTCTTATTTCATTGTTGTTTATGAATCTCTAACAAGCTATATAGACAGCTTTAGCTAGGCTTTTTTATGAGAACCATTAGCAAGGATGACAGCAGTAGGGCAGCAAAAATGACAACAGGGAAGGACCATGCTGGACTGTTTCTTAATATATGAAACTTAGAAAAAACAACCGGGGGCACATTTTCATGTTAATTCCTTGCATTTTAGGGTTAACAAGTAAAATTCAGGATACCCAGTTAAATTTGTGTTTCAGATAAACAACAAATTTTTAATGTTAAGTAATGTAAACAAAATTTTAATGTAATATTTAAAATGTAATTTTTAATATTGCATGGGATACACTTATACTAAAAAATTATTCATTATTTAGTCAAAATTCAAACTGAACTAGGGATCCTATATTTTTATTTTCTAAATCTGGAAACTACTCTACGGGCAAGTGGGAACTTAAGAAATGTAAACTTATTTTTAAATTACAACATGGGAAAGCACAGAAATTGAGTGACCATCTAATGGACAACTGAAAAGATAGAAATGATATGTTAAAAACTGTTATTGAATGTCAATGTTACTGTGATTTTAATTTACTTTTCCTAATTTCTCATTTTTCCTACATTATTATATGTTTTTAAAAGTAATATAATACATAATTATAACCAATATATCATTAAAAATAAATTATAAACATAAAATTTCAATGATGAAAAGTTCTAGAGAACCTCCTAAAAAATGCATTAGTCATAACTGGCTAGCTGTTATAATACACAGCCTCAAAATTTCAGCAGCTTACCCCAGTGAAAGTTTATATCTTCCTCACATAAAGACAAAATGAGTATTTCAGATCAGAGGGCAGCTGCTCTTCGGATGAAATTCAGGGACCCAATTAGCCGGGCGTGGTAGCGGGCGCCTGTAGTCCCAGCTACTCGGGAGGCTGAGGCAGGAGAATGGCGTGAACCCGGGAGGCGGAGCTTGCAGTGAGCCGAGATCGCGCCACTGCACTCCAGCCTGGGTGACAGAGCGAGACTCCGTCTCAAAAAAAAAAAAAAAAAAAAAAGAAATTCAGGGACCCAGGTTACTTCCTTCTTCTTGTAGGAAAAACTCGGTTCTTGCGACACGACGAGGAAAGATTAGGCACGGAGACACTTTGAAGGGTGAGAAGTTACGGAATGTATTGGGTGAAAAGGAAAAAGATTCTCAACAAAGTGAGAGGGGCTCCTGAGTGAGAGGGGCTCCTGTTAACAGGCCCCCACGTCACAGACTAACTTGCCGGTTACCGCACAGGAACGGGAGGGGCCGACTCCTCCCCATGCAAACAGCGGCAGCTTCCCGAGGCCCCACCGCTTCCTCCCAGCGCGTAGGCCAATGGGAGATTTCTCCAGGTCAGTAATCCGATTTTTCGGCCTTCAGGCTGTTTTAGGCTTGAAGGCGGGTTTTGCCGGGGACCCTTGGTCGCCCCCTGTCTGTATCACTGTGGCTCCCCTATCTCCAATACATGGCTTCCAAAATTGATATGAGGTCGTTTCCATCTTTATTCCAGCCATGTCAAATGGGGAAATGAGTATGGAGAATTTTGAGGGGAAGGACATTGAGGCGGAAGGACACTGAATTTAGGGGCAAGGCTGGGCTGGACATCCCATATGTCAATTTAATCCACATTCCAGTGACCAGAATTCACATAGCAATTTCTGCCACTAAGGACATGAATGAAAAAATTTAAGCAAACTAAAGGTACGACATGTTCCTAGAATGTTTCATGATTTTATGGCTGTTTGATAAAATGATTTCTGAAAGTCATCTAGAAGAAAAATATTTATTAAAAAAGGAAAAATTTCTCAAAAGAAAAATGACAATACTGAATAAATACATGGAAAGGGTACCTTCAGAATCGTATATGAGGATATGGTAAGTTTATAATATTGAAATAAGAATGGAATTCATATAAAAATAGACCCACAAGAGAATGGAGAGTGTGGAAGTGACATAATTTTTAAATTAGAAGTTGCTTTGAGTAGTGTAAATAGGCTTTTTTTTTTCCAGGACCAGTTAGCAAAACTTCCATCTAATCCTCGCTGCCTCCTCTTTTATTTGACAATAGAAAGAAATCAAGTGCCTAAACTTAAGAGAAGCATCTTGTGTGTCTTGACCTGGGTGGTGGTTACGCAGGCATTTACCTACGTAAAAAAATCCATCAAGCTAAACACTTAAGATTTGTTCACTTTATTTTATGTAAAGTATATCTCAAAGAAAGAGTTTGGAAAAAACAAAGGAGAGGACCTCTGAGCACTTATAACAAGAGAATCTAATTAAGCCTGGACAACCAAGGAGGCTTGTTTGAGGAGGTCATATATAAGCTGAAATCTGAAGGGTGAGTTGCAGTTAAGCAGACAGAGGTTATAACAGAACATTCTGAACACAAGGACCAGCGTGTATAAAGGTCCTGGAGAACTTTTATAGTTGCCTTTGACATTTAGATTCATGAGCCATCTGATAAATATTAATTTTTGTGTATAATGTGAGTTGTTTTATCCATTATTACAGCATCATTTATGGAAGAAATATCCTTTTTCTATTTATCTGCTGTCAACCCTATTATATACCAAGTTTCAATATTTGGATGAGTTTTTCCAAGGCTTCCATTCTATTCTTCTGAAATACTTGTCTACATCTCCACTAATAGCACACTCTCCCTAATTACTAGAGTTATATAAAGACTCGCTGTAACTGATAGGTATTCCTCCAATCTTGAAGTTTTTTCTCAAGAGTGTCTTGGCTGTTTTTGGCACTTTATTCTTCCACAGTATTCTTCCCGTAATATTGGTACGGGGGCGCAGGGAAATGCTAGGAAGGGAAGGGCATGGTCCCTGGCTAGGGCTCCACCTCAGGCTTGCGGTCACAGACCTAGGTGAGGACAGACATTTCTGTTTTCATGTCCAAATGTTGCATTTCCCAAGACCACCTGGCCTGCCACACCCCCATCCTGTGCCTATAAAAACCCCAAGACCCTAGTGGGCAGAGACACAAGCAGCTGGACGTTGAGAGGAACACATGGGCATAAGAGCACACCGACAGATGCTGGCAGGAGACTGGTGGAACAACGTGGAGTTCGGCTGGGGCGTCGGAGGAGAGCCCGGCTGCTGAGCACCCAACTCCAGGGGAAAACCACTTTCCCACTCCATCTCCCTTCTGGCTCCCCCATCTGCTGAGAGCTACTTCCACTCAATAAAACCTTGCACTCATTTTTCAAACCCATGTGTAATCTAATTCTTCCTGTACACCAAGGCAGGAAACCCTGGGATACAGAAAGCCCCCTGTCCTTAAGGGACAGATAAGGGAAGGGGTCTAATTGAGCTAACACAAGCCACCTACGGACAGCTAAACTGAAAGAGCATACTGTAACACACGCCCACTAGGGCTTCAGCTGTAAACATTCACCCCTAGACGCTGCCTTGGGTTCAGAGCCCCACAACCTACCCATCTGCATGATCCTGCTAGAGGTTTGAGCATCCAGGCACCTAAGAAGCAAGCCACACCCCCATCGCACACCCTTCTAGGGGCACAAGTGAACTTTCCCATTTCGATATCAGCAAAATACTTTTTAAAGTTTTCACTGGAATTGCAGTAAATAAATACATCAATTTAACAGAGAACTGACATCTTTATAATATTGTCTTCCAATCCGTGAATATGCTGTATCTCTTGTTTTGGTAACTAATTTGTGAAAGAGTTATAATTTCCTTAGTAAAGGTCTTGTGTACCTTTGCTAGCTTTTTCTAGGTACTTACATATTGAGGATCCTGTAAATATTATTTTTAGTTTCTTGTGGCCATAATAAAACATAATTATTTTATGTAACTGTATTTTATGTAATAAACATTCTAATTGCTCTTAATTGAGTAATTTATCTGTGGATTATTTTGGATTTTCTACAAAGAAAATCACAACCTTTGTAAATTATGACAGTTTTACTTTTTTTTTTCAATCCTTATACATTTATTTCTTTTCTTGCCTACTGTGCTGGCTTGGAACTCCAGAACAATGATTAATGAAAGTGATAATACATAATCTGTGTCTTGTAATAAATCTTAAAGAGAATGCTTCATTGTTGCACAGATAAGTATGATGTTTGTTGTAGGTTCATTTTAGTTTGCTAATGGTTGTTTTTTATTTAAATTATGAATAGATGTTAGATTTTAGCCAAGTAATTGCATTATTGGATCTGATTATATAGTCTTTCTTCCTTAATCTTTAATATGCTGAATTATATTGATTTTCAAATGTTGAAACAATATTGCATTACTAAAATAAATTCAACTTGGTTGTAATGTACTGTCTTTTTTATACATTGCTGTATCTGACTTAATATTTGTGTAGGATTTTTAAATCCATGGTCATTATTGAGGGCAAGCTATAATTTTCTTTCTTGTGCCCTCTTTCTTAGGTTTAAGTGTCATGATTATACCATCTCTTAAAATGAATTGAAGAATGTTCAATGGTACAACATTGGAGTTATTTATTTCTTGACTGTTAGGTAGAATTAGCTTATAAAACCATCAAAGCTTGTTTTCTTTTTAGGAAGATTTTAAACTACTCATTCAAATTTTCAATTGAAAATTTTATTGAGATAATTATAGGTGGTTATAAAAATAATAGAGAGATCTCATACAGCTTTTACCTAGTTTCTCCCAATGGAAGAAAAATATAGTTATTAAACTATAGTACAATAACATAACTGGGTTGTTAACATCAATAAAATTCACTGGGCTTACTCAGATTTCCTCAGTTATATTTGTACCCATTTGTGTGTGAAAGTATGTAGCCACTCCTGGTTTTTTTAAATCAATGTTTGCATGGTAAATCTTTTTCAGTTCTTTTACATTCAGCCTATGTAATTAGATTTGAAGTGAATTTTTTATACACAGCATAGTGTTGTGTCATTTTTATTTATCCACTCTCCTTCTCTCTGTCTTTAGATTGGTATATTAAGATCATTTACATTTAAGGTAATTATTGTTAATTCTTAAGTCTTCCATTTCATTATCTATTTCTATTTGTTATAGCTAATTCTTATTTGTATTTGGTTTTTGGTTTTCTGTTACCTTCAGGTGTGTATTTGTTCATTCGCGCACTGCTATAAAGAAATACCTGAGACTGGGTAATTTATAAAGAAAAGAAGTTAATTGACTCAGTTCTGCAGGCAATACAGGAAGCAAGATGCTGTCATCCGCTTGGCTTCAGGTGAGAGCTCAGGAAACTTACAATCATGGCAGAAGGTGAAGGGGAAGCCATCACTTTTCATATGGCTGGAGAAGGACAAAGAGAGTGAAGGGGGAGGTGCTATACACTTTTAAACAAACAGATCTCATGAGAACTCACTCACCATTACCTGAGAAGATGATGCTAAACCATTCATGAAGGATCTATCCCCATGATTCAATCACCTCTCACCATGCCCCACCTCCAACACCGGGGATTACAATTCAACATGAGATTTGGATGGGGACACAGATACGAATCGTGTCAAGCTGCATCTAAGTTACCGCAAAGGCATGATTTCATTCTTTGTATGGCTCTATAGTATTCCATAGTGTGGATGTACCACATTTTGTTTATCGAATCCACCATTGTTGGGCACCTATGTTGGTTCTATGTCTTTGCTATTGTGAATAGTGCTGCAATGAACATACAGATACGTGTGTCTTTTTGGTAGAACAATTTATTTTTCTTTGGTATACACCAAGTAATGGGATTGCTCAGTTGAATGGAAGTTCTCTTTCTAATTCTTTGAGAAATCTCCAAACTACTTTCCACAGTGTCCTTTGGCCAATCTTTAACAGTAGATCTGCTAGCTGCAAACTCTTGTAGTTCTCCTTCCTTTCAGAATGTCTTTATTTCCTCTTCATTCCTGAAGGACAGTTTCACATGATATAAAATTCATGGTTGATAGCTCTTTTCTTTCAGTACTTGAAAAATGTTTTGCCACTTCCTTCTCACTTCCTTGTTTTCTGATGAGAAATCTACTGTCACGGCTAACCGGTTTTCCCAGCACCATTTATTAAATAGGGAATCCTTTCCCCATTGCTTGTTTTTGTCACGTTTGTCAAAGATCAGATGGTTGTAGATGTGTGGTGTTATTTCTGAGGCCTCTGTTCTGTTCCATTGGTCTATATATCTGTTTTGGTGCCAGTACTATGCTGTTTTCGTTACTGTAGCCTTGTAGTGTAGTTTGAAGTCAGGTAGCGTCATGTCTGCAGCTTTGTTCTTTTTGATTAGGATTGTCTTGACTATACGGGCTCTTTTTTGGTTCCATATGAAATTTAAATTAGCTTTCTCCAGTGAAGAAAGCTAATGGTAGTTTGATAGGAATAGCATTGAATGTCTAAATTGCTTTGGGAAGTATGGCCATTTTCACAATACTGATTCTTCCTATCCATGAGGATGGAATGTTTTCTTCATTTGTTTGTGTCCTCTCTTGTTTCCTTGAGCAGTGATTTGTAGTTCTCCTCTAAGAGATCTTCAGGTCTCTTGTAAGCTGTGTTCCTAGGTATTTTATTTTCTCTGTAGCCATTGTGAATGGGAATTCACTCATGATTTGGCTCTATGCTTGTCTATTATTGGTGTATTCGAATGCTTGTGATTTTTGCACATTGATTTTGTATCCTGAGACTTTGCTGAAGTTGTTTATCAGCAAAAGCAATGGCAACAAAAGCCAAAATTGACAAATGGGATCTAACTAAACTAAAGAGCTTCTGCTCAGCAAAAGAAACTATCATTAGAGAAAACAGGCATCCTACAGAGTGAGAGAAAATTTTTGCAATCTATCTATCTGACAAAGGTCTAATATCCAGAATCTACAAGGAACTTAAACAAATTTACAAGGAAAAAACAAATAACCCCATCAAAAATAGGACAAAGGATATGAACAGACACTTCTCTAAAGAAGACATTTATGCGACCAACAAACATGAAAAAATGCTCATCATCACTGGTCATTAGAGAAATGCAAATCAAAACCACAACGAGATACCATCTCACGCCAGTTAGAATGGTGATCATTAAAAAGTCTGGAAACAACAGATGCTGGAAAGGATGCGGAGAAATTGGTATGCTTTTACATTGTTGGTGGGAGTGTAAATTAGTTCAACCATTGTGGAAGACAGTGTGGCAATTCCTCAAGGATCTAGAGCTAGAAATACCATTTGACCCAGCAATCCCATTACTGGGTATATACCCAAAGGATTATAAATCATTATACTATAAAGGCACATGCACACATATGTATATTGCAGCACTCAAAATTCTTTTAAGGAGAAGTTTCCACTTTCCTTATCGTTGTATACGCTTCCCTCTTTTAATTACATGTTGAGTCCTTCCCTCATTTAGGCTTGAGAAAAATGTCCTTAAGTGTCCTAAACTTGCATTAAACCCACTTACTCATCAAACCCCACTTATGACTTCCCTTAGAGGACAAGAGACATTTCAGCTCAGTTATATACTGCTGTTCTCAATTCCTGCCATTTTTTTTCCTCTTCCTTTGACCTGCTGGCCTAGGTCTCCAGCTCACTGAAAACAGCCTCCCCTGATGAGCACACCATTGTTATGTAATAGCCTAACCCTTACCCCTCGCCTATCAGGGGGTGCCAAGCCTGCAGACTCACTCTGCTTTCCTCATAACTGCCCTGAGGAGAAGGCTGAAGACTGAGGAATCCTCTTTCTGCCTCCCATTTGACTGCATTTTCTTTGGTCAGAGTCTCCCTTATTCATGGGACCTGCCTGGGTCCAGGACCCCTTGACAGGTGCTCTCTGGCTGCCTGTCCTCTGGGCACTCTTGTCCCAGGTCTATTGTTTTCATGACCCACCAGGATGGCGCTTCACTTCCTCAGAAATTGTGATCCCCAGGAAAGTGCCCCACAGGAGGGGTGGAGTTGAGATGCCAGACCAGCTCTCTTACAGCATGCATTTCCGGGGCCGAAGACACGTGATTCACATGAAGCTCAAGAAGAACATGATGCCCAGACATTTACCTGTTTTTACTAATAATGACCAAGGGGCCATGCAGGAGAACTACCCTTTTGTCCCACGAGACTGTTACTACGATTGCTACCTGGAAGGGGTTCCTGGGTCTGTGGCCACATTGGACACCTGCCGTGGAGGTCTGCGTGGCATGCTGCAGGTGGATGACCTGACTTATGAAATCAAACCCCTGGAGGCTTTTTCCAAATTTGAGTATGTAGTATCTCTGCTTGTGTCAGAAGAAAGACCAGGAGAGGTCAGTAGATGTAAGACTGAAGGGGAAGAGATAGATCAAGAATCTGAAAAGGTAAAACTGGCTGAAACTCCCAGAGAAGGCCACGTTTATTTGTGGAGGCATCATAGAAAAAACTTGAAACTTCACTACACAGTTACTAATGGATTATTCATGCAGAACCCTAATATGTCACACATAATAGAGAATGTAGTGATTATTAACAGCATCATACATACCATTTTCAAACCAGTTTATTTAAATGTCTATGTACGTGTTTTGTGCATATGGAATGATATGGATATAGTAATGTATAACATGCCTGCCGACCTGGTTGTAGGAGAGTTTGGTTCGTGGAAATATTATGAATGGTTTTCACAAATTCCACATGATACCTCAGTTGTTTTTACATCAAATTGACTTGGAAACAGTGAGTGTTATGCCAGCTTTGACGGAATATGCAACCCCAACTGGGGAGCAATGTTTGTGTATATAATGAGGTATCACCTATTTAGGGGGGCATGTGTTACAGCACATGCACTAGGTCATAACATGGGCTTGAGACATGATTCTGTTGGTTGTTATTGTTTTCGACGAACCAACTATCTCATGGCTCCTGTTCCTGATCTTAATGATATGATGAGCAATTGTTCTTATGAGATAATTCAACGCAAGTTTAATCAATGGGATCCTTGTTTGAGTGCTCCAAATTTTCCATACCTAATTTTCCATACGTAGCTCCTCGTTGTGGAGACAATATCAAAAATCAGAGGGAAGAATGTGACTGTGGCTCCCTTAAAGATTGTGCCAGTGATAGATGTTGTGAGACCTCTTGTACCCTTTCTCTTGGCAGTGTTTGCAATACAGGACTTTGCTGCCATAAGTGTAAATATGCTGCCCCTGGAGTGGTTTGCAGAGACTTGGGTGGTATATGTGATCTACCAAAATACTGTGATGGGAAAAAGGAAGAGTGTCCAAATGACATCTACATCCAGGATGGAACCCCATGTTCAGCAGTATCTGTTTGTATAAGAGGAAACTGCAGTGACCGTGATATGCAGTGTCAAGCCCTTTTTGGCTACCAAGTGAAAGACGGTTCCCCAGCGTGCTATCAAAAATTGAATAGGATTGGTAACTGATTTGGAAACTGTGGGGTTATTCTACGGCGAGGGGGAAGTAGACCTTTTCCATGTGAAGAAGATGATGTTTTCTGTGGAATGTTGCACTGTAGCGGTGTCAGCCACATTCCCGGTTGAGCTGAGCACACTACATTTCGTAATATATTAGTACACGACATAAAAGAAGAAAAATGCTTTGGCTATGAAGCACACCAGGGGACAGACTTGCCAGAAATGGGGCTGGTAGTGGATGGTGCAACCTGTGGCCCAGGGAGCTACTGTCTTAAACACAATTGTACTTCTTATCAAGACCTGCATTTTGAGTGTGATCTTAAAACATGCAATTACAAAGGAGTATGTAACAACAAAAAACATTGTCACTGTCTGCATGGGTGGCAACCACCAACATGTGAACTGAGAGGAAAAGGAGGTAGTATAGATAGTGGCCCTCCACCTGACAAACAATATCGTATTACAGCCAGCACACTTGCGAATATAAACTGAGCACTACTTTTAATATTTACTCGTTGCATCCTTTTTCTGGTTTCACTTCTCTTTGGTGGCTTTTCACAAGCAATAGAATTTATGGAAGAGAAAATAATGAAAACTACTGAACCTAATGAGTAAATACTAATGGAAGCCCACACAATGGAGAAAATCACGTTGACACTTACTGGGAGTTATAATCAATAGTCACTCTGACGGTTACATCACCTTTTAGCAATTCTGATGTCATCTTGAAGTAAAATCACTTGGCAATTTAAAAAGGGTCTGTGTGTTTAAATTTACTTCACATTTCATGTGTGGTCGTATTCTCAATACTTCTATAGATGACGGCAGAAACTCTTAGATTCACTAACAAGAGGACCTGTACTCATTTAAGATTTGGGGCTAATGTTTTCTAGATACCCCTGTGGCAAATCCCGTGTACACTAATATACATTTGTTCACACTCTTAATTTCCTTTTTTTTTTTTTTTGAGGCAAGGTCTCACTCTGGTGCATAGGCTGCCAGGCTGGAATGCAGTGGCACAATCTCGGCTCACTGCGACCTCTGCATCCCGGATTCAAGCAATTCTCCCACCTAAACTTCCTGAGTATCTGGGATTACAGGCACGCGTCACCACGCCAGATTAATTTTTTGTATTTGTAGTAGAGACAGGGTTTCACCATCTTGGCCAGGCTGGTCTCAAACTCCTGGCCTCAAGTGATTCATCCACCTTGGCCTCCCAAAGTTCTGGGCACTTGGTACACGCTGTCTGCTATCATTTTCATTATTCTCATGATTTTTGCATTATGCTAAGCCTGGGGAATCCCATATGTAATGTCTCTGGCTTTTTGTCTTTACTGTTACAGAAAGGATCGTTATTCACTGTTAAATCACTTCTCAGTTTCTCTGGATATAAAGGTATGGGATCTCATATTTAAAATCTCCAATAATTGGCTAAGCCCAGCCTATCTATAAATTACAGGATGGAACTGACAGTCTGATAAATGTACAGACACAAAATCTTACCTAAAGGAAAACTGGAAGAATCACTTCAGAAATAGTGCACTAAGGTTGGGCATAGTGACTCACGCCAATAATCCCAGCGATTTGGGGGCCTGAGGTGGGAGGATTCCTCGAGGCCAGGAGTTTGAGACCAACCTGGGCAGCATTGTGAGACCATGTCTCTATAAAATATTAAAAAATAAGAAAATTATTCAGGCATGGTGGCACATACCTGTAGTCCTAGCTATTCCAGAGTCTGAGGAGGGAGTACCAGTTTGAGACCAACCTAGGCAACATAGTGAGAATCTATCAACACAAAATATAAAGAAATTAGCTAGGCATGGTGGCACGTGCCTGTAGTCCTAGCTATTCAGGAGGCTGAGGCAGGAAGCTCAATTGAGGCCAGGAGTTCAAGACCAATCTGAGCAGGATAGCAAGACCCCATCTCTAAAAAAATTTAAAAATCAGCCTGGTGTAATATAGTGTGTCCCTATAGATCCAGCTACTTGGGAGGCTGAGGCAGGAGGATCACTTGAGACCAGGAGCTGGAGGTTACAGTAAGTCATGACTGTACCACTGCACACCAGCCTGGGTGACAGAGTGACGGTGTGTGTGTGCGTGTGTGTGTGTGTTTGTGTTTTAAAAACTTTTCTCTTGTTTTTAGGGCTTGTCATATGCAACAAGAGGTGATGTTCCAGGTCAAATAGTAAGAGGGAGCTGGAGATGTGGAAGAAAAGAAGCAAGGGGGACTTTAAGAAGATAGGGATCAGGGGTTGCCGCGAGGCCTCTGGGGTGGGTTCGCCAGGAGGGCAGGTTCGTGCGGCACCTCGGAGGGAGGCTGAGCGGGCCGCGCCGGGCGGCGGGTACACGGCGGTATGGTCCTGCGCTCGGGAACGCGGAATGTTCCCTGGTCGCCGCCGCGGTGGGGCGCGGGCCCGGAGGAGGCGCCCGAGGGACCAGGCCTTGCGGCGGGCAAGGACCAGGAGGCGAGCCCTGGAGCTCCGGAGCGGACGCCCCCAGGGAGCTGGGGACACCCCCATGGGACAGCCCTTCCTGGACCCGGAGAGAGCAGCTGCTGCTGCCCCACCACCCGCCAGGCCCGGCCACTGAGCAGCCCCCCGGAACCCCAGATCCTCGTTCCCCCCAGGTGGCCTGGGAGGTGGCCCCCTCGAGGATGACTCCACTAGCTCCCTGGGACCCCAACTACGAAGCCAAAGCAGGACCTCGGCTGGTTTGGGGGGCCAACTGTAGCTCAGGAGCCTCGTTCTCAGGCCAGACGGTGTGTCACCCCTCGTTCTGGCCGCTGTACGAGGCAGCCTCGGGCAGGGGTCTCAGGCCCGTGGCCCCTGCCACAGGGCATTGGAATGGACAGCAGGCGGCCCCGGATGCAGGGTTCCCGGTGATGTGCTGTGAAGACGTCTTCCTCTCGGACCCTCTGCTGCCCCGGGGGGCAGCGTGTCCCCCTGTACCTGTCCAAGGCCCCCCAGCAGATGATGGGCTCCCTGAAACTGCTGCCGCCGCCCCCCATCATGTCTGCCAAGGTTCTCCCCCGCCTGTCACCCTCCCTGGGCCCCTCCACTGCCTGGCTCAGCGGGCCGGAGCTGATCGCTCTCACTGGCCTGCTGCAGGTGAGCCAGGGGGAGCCTAGGCCCAGCTCCTCCGTGGCTGGCCCCTCAGGCCCTACCTCTGACCCACCCAGCCCCTGTGGTAGCCCCAGCAGTTTTCAGAGTGCTGACCTCTCTCTCCCACAGACCCCAGACACCCATTGTCCATAGCCTTCTCGGGGCAGAGTGGGCTGGTTGTGTTGACAATGAAACAGTGTTGGTTTGCAAACAAACAAACAAAAAGAAGATAGGGATCAGGATAGAAGGGAGGTGAGAATCAGAGGCATAAACTGAGGTAGACAGAAGGGAGGAGTCCTTTGGGAAAGGAAGACCATGGAAGTTGTTGAAAACAGGACTCAAGACTAGAGACTTCAAAATCTTTCTTTTCTTGGTTTCTTCATACCAATTAAAGTAAGTTATTCATGGAGTGTCAGCTATTCTGCTACCCTGTTCTTCTAAGGTGACACAAAAATGCACAAGTTTGACATGTCCCAAGTAACCAAAGGCAGTGCATTTCAAATTTATACCTGATGAAATCACGCCACTTAAGAATTTAACAGATCGATCAACATTGCACCAGACCATATGTCTACACAGATCTGGCCAGGTGTTTGGGTTAAATAGGAGTTTCCGTAGTAGAAGAAATTTGAGATAATAGAAGAGTCTTGTCCCACCTTAGGAAAGTTGCCTAAACTCTCTGCACATCTAAAGAACTCTGAAAGACGGAAGGAAAATGCTGACTTCAGTCTGACAAAAGGGTACCTAGAAAAAAGTCAAAGCATGCAACCACCATGCTCTGAAAGAAAGTCAGATGATGGGATGATCTGTGCAGCAAACCACCGTGACAGTGTTTACCTATGTAATGAACCTGCACGTCCTATCCTGCACATGTACCGCTGACCTTAAAATAAAAGTTGGAAATCAAGAATAAAAATTTAAATGAGGGAAAAAAAGAAAAGAATCAGAGACCAAGAGCAGGGCTTACCTCTTCACCCAAGGAAATTAGGGTGCTTTGATAATGCTGTCTTTGACACAAAACTGGGCAGTGTTGGCATTTTGTCCAAAACTATTCCAAGTAACAACACAAAATTATTAAATATATATATAGTTTTTTTAAGTGACTCAGACAGAGGTTAAAGGCTTGATTCAATTGAACTACATGAGGGAGTACCTGAAGACCAGGTGATATCACAAGTGAAGCAGGGTCAAGGTTTTTACAAGATGGGAATGTTTCGAGTAGCTGTCCTTGTCCTTTCAATTTTAGCATCAGTGTTCACCTTAACCAAAACTCATAGATGGAGACTATTCGTATTTCCTTGTCCCTTCTTTGGAGTCTAATAACCAACAGAACAATAATTCTGAGAACTGTCTTTACAAACCTCATGGGTTTTTGGATAGCTATGGGCTGTGAGAGGTATATAGTTTTTTTTTTTTTTTAAAGGGTTGCAGGGAGGGCACTGGGCATGGTTGTTTGTGCCTGTAATCCTAGCACTTTGGGAGGCCAAGGTGGGAGGAATGCTTGAGCCCAGGGCTTTGAGACCAGCTTGGGCAACATAGCAAGACCCCATCTTTATAACATTAATTTTGTTTTAACTTTAAAAAAATAAAGAGAAGAAGGAAAAAGAAAAAGGACAAAAGTGGGAGTCAGGGAGAACCCAGAGCACTTGCTGTAATGTTTGTTTTAAATCTTTTGCACCTTCATCTCAGGAGGTCAACACTACTGCACATATCCATTCACAGTTACCATTGCGTTGGGTGGTTCCAAGTGGCTCCCAAGTGAATCCCCTAGTTTCTCCATATAATCCTCCATGCCTCTACTGGGGCTCAGCAGCCTTACCTCCCCCTGCTATCCAGGGTCAATTACTCCTGCCAAAATGACTTTTCTTTTTACCTGCTAGTCCTTGAACAGAAGATGTCCCAGACGCCCTGAGGGCAGCTTGCAGGTCTATGGAACTTATGCTGGGTCCCCTGGCAAAGATGCATTCTCTTTGTGGACCAAGACCTGCCTAGAGAACAGATAGTTGCAGAGACGGAAGCAGATCAGTGAATCATCAAGTGTGATGATAAGTGAGGCCACCCAGCTTCTCTTCCTTGGTTCTGGGCCCCATATATTCTTTCTATTGCATATACAACACCATGTAGGAATCTCTGACTTAATATACACAATGCATTGTGAAGGCTGGCACTCAATTCTATTCTTTCAGAATATTGTTTCTGAGCTGGCACTCTGGCTCTGCCTTCTGCAGGCCATTCTAAGCACTTTTGGAGAATAGATGCTACTAAATATTTGATATATGATACAAACAATATAATTCATTGCTACGTACCATTCCTGCACCCATACACTAAAGAGTGAATGAATCCTCTATTCTTACGCCAAGTTGCATGAGGTTCCATCCTTAAAGATCTTACAATCCATATGCCCCCAGTAGTGGTGCTGGCTTAAGCTCTATAGACAATATCATAACTAGAATATGTATATTTTCTTGTGTGAACTAATCACTGGCCCTCCCAGGATAAAAGGGGCACAAAGTAGTCAATGTCTCACTAATTCACTGTTTGGTTTCCTTGAAGAATTGTACCTTCCCAGAAACTCAGCCTTGATCTGTGTCACTGGCAAGTTGGACATTCATGGCAGAAGTGTCTTGATTAACTCCCTGGGCAAGTGGGAGTCCATGCCATTGAGCCCAATGTACCTGTATCTCTGCCACCATTGCCACCTGTTTGTGTGCCCCCTGGAGAACTCATATGCACAGATATCCTCTCAAGAGTGTGAAGACCCAAAATAGTGGTCAAAGCAGAAAGTTTTTATACTTTTAGAAAAAGAACAATAAATCTGTGAAGAAATGACAAGACAAAAGTGTAGAGAGCCAAAAGCCTTTGGGTAGTAACCAACTCAGCATTCCACTGGAGGCTATATGATCAAACAGCAAACTGTTTATCATGAATGCAGGATGTGGGCAGACTCACAGCTGCCAGAAGATATGCTGGGTGCAATCACTCCCTGGCGCCATGCTCCTTGAGGTTATCTGCTGGAACATCTGGAGACTACTGTTCAGAGAATGCAGTCATGCAGGCCTGCGCCGAGTCAAGCAGCCTACTGACAACCACCTCCTTCTCCCTATCTTCTTTTCTCAATAAATATGAAGGGAGCTAGAAACTCAAAGCCCTTGTTCACTAGAAGTAAGGAGCCCCCTGACCCCTTCAACCAAAAATACTCTTTTGTCTTTGTCTTTATTCCCGCGTTCATCCCCCTTTGTTCAGTCCAACAGGGATTGGGACCGTGACACAAAAGGATCTAAGCTAGGGACAGTGAATTCCAGGGAAGTCACTAGGAGATCTACTGGTGGGGAGTGTCAAGGAGGAGTTATAAAGCTAGTTGGGAGATAAGAGTTACTTTAGTTTATTTGTACAGGTCTACTGAAGCAACAATTTCCAATCCTGGGGATAGGGTTATTTTCTTGTCCCGGCACAGGGAAGGCATCTTTCTCCATGGAAGTTTTATGGCTTGCTATATGCAGGAAAAGACAGGTCAGATAGTCACTTCTGGAACTACAGTTTCCAAAGTACTTTGAGCTTGAAGTAATCAATACACTAATTTGACATATTTTAGAGCTGCAGGCATACTTTTAACTCCTTTATTTTCCCTGTCTGAAACTTCCCTAACAGTTTCAAATTAAAAGCTGAATTAGTATTTGTGGAGAGAAGAGTTGTATAAGTAGCTGAGTGGCAGGGGATCTGCAAAGGGAGAGAAGAACACAAATTAGAAGGGGAATTAATAAGCAGAAAAGAACAAATCTAAACACATTTACCCATATTGCATTCAACCAGTCTCCTATCCCTGGCAATGGGTCAGTCCAATTGAATGGTTTAGCCTCATTTATATGATGAACAGTGTTTATCTTGTGTTGCAAAAAGTTCAGATTAGATTCTATTTGTCCCTAGTGGTTTACATGTAAGCAGCGTTCCTTACCAATGATTGCTCAAGCTCCTCCTTCTTGGGCTGTCATTGTATCCAGGACATGGTGATTCTGAAGTACAACAGAGGCTAAACTGTTCACTTCTGATTGGAGTCTTCTCAGTGCTTGCATAGTAATACTGACTCCTGTTCTATTACTATGGAAACATTGAGAATTGCCCTTTCCCTCTCATAAGTTCCAAAGCCTGGGAAAATGGATCTCAGCATGGAAAGGAACTTAGAATTGTGACATATAAGTGGATTTTCTATAAAATCTCATGTAGCACACTTGTGTGGCACTACTTTATGAACAAAGGAGCCCAAGTTTATAATTAGGCTGGCATTGAAGGAGGAGTACCTGGTGACAAAGGCGTTAGGTATCTGAGTCCCCATCATTCTGACCATGTAAGTGGGAACCCTTCATAGACCTTGTCACCACACAAGATAAAAAGACCAGTGTGGTTCACAAATAATGTCAAAGTGAAATTTGTGACCCAACAGATTGGGCTTTGTTGTGCCTTGTCTTCTGTCATATTGGCATCTGTGTATCCATATGTGTCCCTGTCAGTCCACCTTCTATACAGGTGTCCAACTCACCAAAAGGAGAAGAAGTGTGGCGTTGTTTTCTTTTCATGGAAGCCATACCTTGTCATGCATCCGCCTCCGGATTTGACCCACCAGGCACTTGCATCAGCAGGAACGAAAATAAGTTCAGATAATTTTGCACAAACTAGATGCTGATATACCCAGCAATCAGATGGCTTAGTTCACGTGGCCAGGGTTTGGAAGACTGGAGCAAAGGGATGTCAGTTCTGTGCCCAAACTGTTCAGAAAACAGTAAGGGTTAATGACAATAAGACACAGTTTGAAAGAAAGTCTGTAGTGGAGGATCAGAGGGAGAATTGAATAGACTGAGACAGTCTCCAGTCAGCTTTTTCAATAGGTGCTCAAAGAACAAAGAAGACTTTGTGAAGAAAAGAAAAGGGTTTTGGGTTTGTTTGTTTGTTTGTTTGGGGTTTTTTTGAGGGAAGGTAGAGAGACCCAGTTCCTGTTATACTAACAATGTACACCCTGTCTTGGGCCCCAACACCGCAGAGAAGTCCCATGAGGACTGGGGAAACTACCATGTTCATTTACACATCTCTCATTGGTCCAGAGTTGTTTTCAGATGCATTAACTCCTTCCTGTTTCCAGCCTGCTCCATGAATGCACTGAGCACACCCCCTCCCCCATAAAGTAGAAAGCCTTTAGTGTGTAGATCTCCTGTACTACAGAAAACCTCAAGGTTCGGTCTAAGAGGATACAGGTGCGTACCACCAGCATCTTCTGTACCAGACTTTCCAGTCCCAAATACTTTTAATTTTACTCTCATTTCCCTAGGATTGTATTTTCCAAATAAACCATTTAGATTTATTCCTTGCTTCAGCATATGTTTTCTAAGGAACCTGGGTACAGTAGATGCTGAAAGCCCACCCTCCATCTTCTTGTCCCACTTGAGTTCACTTGCAGCCACAGTAGACAATCTCCATGCTCTGAGAGTTTACCACTTCAAGTGCTTATATCTCAGATATTCTTTTCCTTACAGCTTTCTCCTGAACCATGGAATATTAATCAAAGGTGTGTTTCACATGACTTCTCAGAAAGCCTACAGGGATGACTCAAGTAGTACACAGAGAAAACTTGTTCATTAGTCTGCCCTGTTTTGTGCTTCCCCAGAAAACTAACTCCACCTAAATCCTTGTCTCTGGGTCTGCTTTTTGGGCAATCCAAATTAAAACAGGAGGTAAGACTCTATGCTTCTTATAAAAAGGTTAATTCTACCCACCAATCCTGATATAATTAACTGATATAGCTCTAATTAACTCAACAAATATAAAATAACTATACATCTTTTCTTAAAATAAGAATATTGCAAAATGCACTGCTTCCTGTAAAAATTTACAAGTAAAATAAGGTGACTCTAACAAATTAACTTTAACATACAATACAGGATACCAATTTGCCAGCAAAGCACTGATAAAGGATTTATTGTATGAAGTGTAACAGGACAACAGGCTACCCATTTGGAAAAGTATACAATTAGATACCTATCTCATTCCTTATAGCAAAATAAATTCCACAATTAAGCATAAAAGCTGAAACCAACATAATCCCAGAAAAAATGGATTATTTCAATGTAATCTCAAGCAGAAATACAAAACTCAGCAAATATAACAGAACAATAGGCTGACAAATATTACTATAATCAACTTCAATGGTTTCTTTTATATATACTTTAAGTTCTGGGGGTACATGTGCAGAATGTGCAGTTTTCTTACATTGGTATACACGTGCCATAGTAGTTTGCTGCACCCATCAACCTGTCACCTACATTAGGTATTTCTCGCAATGAAATCCTTCCCCTAGCCCTCCATCACCCAACAGACCCAGTATGTGATGTTCCCCTCCCTGTGTCCAGGTGTTCTCGTTGTTCAACTCCCACTTGTGAGTGAGAACATGCAGTATTTTGTTTTCTGTTCCTGTGTTAGTTTGCTGAAAATGATGGTTTCCAGCTTCATCCATGTCCCTGCAAAGGACATGTACTCATCCTTTTTTATGGCTGCATAGTATTCCATGGTGTATATGTGCCACATTTTCTTTATGCACTCTATCATTGATGGACATTTGGGTTGGTTCCAAGTCTTTGCTTTTGTGAATAGTGCCACAAAAAACATACGTATGCATGTGCCTTTATACTAGAATGATTTATAATCCTTTGGGTGTATACCCTGTAATGGGATCGCTGGGTCAAATAGTATTTCTAGCTCTAGATCCTTGAGGAATCACCACACTGTCTTCCACAATGGTTGAACTAATTTACACTCCCACCAACAGTGTAAAAGCATTCCTGTTTCTCCACATCCTCTCCAGCATCTGTTGTTTCCTAACTTTTTAATGATCACCATTCTAACTGGCGTGAGATGGTATCTCATTGTGGTTTTGATTGCCATTTCTCTAATGACCACTGATGATGACAATTTTTTCATAAGTTTGTTGGCTGCATAAATGTCTTCTTTTGAGAACTGTCTGTTCATATACTTTGCCCACTTTTTGATTTTTTTGTGTGTAAATTTGTTTAAGTTATTTGTAGATTCTGGATATTAGCCCTTTGTCAGATGGATAGATTGCAAAAATTTTCACTCCTTCTGTAGGTTGCCTGTTCACTCTGATGACAGTTTCTTTTGCTGTGCAGAAGCTCTTTAGTTTAATTAGATCCCATTTGCCAATTTTGGCTTTTGTTGCCATTGCTTTTGGTGTTTTAGACATGAAGTGTTTGCCCTTGCCTATGTCCTGAATGATATGGCCTAGGTTTTTTTCTAGGATTTTTATGGTTTTAGGTCTTACATTTAAGTCTTTAATCCATCTTGAGTTGATTTTTGTGTAAGGTGTAAGGAAGGGGTCTAGTTTCAGTTTTCTGCAGATGGCTAGCCAGTTTTCCCAACACCATTTATTAAATGAGGAATCGTTTCCCCATTGCTTGTTTTTGTCAGATTTGTCGAAGATCAGATGGTTGTAGATGTGTGGTGCTATTTCTGAGGCCTCTCTTCTGTTCCATTGGTCTATATATCTGTTTTTGTACCAGTACCATGCTGTTTTGGTTACTGTAGCCTTGTAGTATACTTTGAAGTGAGGTAGCATGATGCCTCCAGCTTTGTTCTTTTTGCTCAGGATTGTCTATGCGGGCTCTTTTTTGGTTCCATGCGAAGTTTAAAGTAGTTTTCTCCACTTCTGTGAAGAAAGTCAGTGGTAGCTTGATGGGGATGGCATTGAATCTATAAATTACTTTGGGCAGTATGGCCATCTTCATGATATTTATTCTTCCTATCCATAAGCATGGAATGTTTTTCTATTTGTTTGTGTCCTCTCTTCTTTCCTTGAGGAGTGATTTGTAGTTCTCCTTAAGGAGGTCCTTCACATCCCTTTTAAGTTGTATTGCTAGGTATTTTATTATCTTAGTAGCAATTGTGAATGGCAGTTCACTCACGACTTGGCTCTCTGCTTGTCTGTTATTGGTGTATAGGAATGCTTGTGATTTTTGCACATTGATTTTGTATCCTGAGACTTCGCTGAAGTTGCTTATCAGCTTAAGGAGATTTTGGGCTGAGATGATGGGGTTTCTTAATATACAGTCATGTCATCGGCAGACAGAGAAAATTTGACTTCCTCTCTTCCTATTTGAATACCCCTTATTTTTTTCTCTTGCCTGATTGCCTTGGCCAGAACTTCCTATACTATGTTGAATAGGAGTGGTGAGAGAGGGCATCCTTGTCTTGTGCCGGTTTCCAAAGAGAATGCTTCCAGCTTTTGCCCATTCAGTATGATATTGGCTATGGGTTTGCCATAAATACCTCTTATTAATTTGAGATACATTCCATTGATACCTAGTTTATTGAGAGTTTTTAGCATGAAGGGTGTTGAATTTTGTCAAAGGCCTTTTCTGCATCTATTGAGATAATCATGTGATTTTTGTCATTGGTTCTGTTTATGTGATGGATTATGTTTATTGATTTGCATATGTTGAACCAGGCTTGCATCCCAGGTATGAAGCCAACTTGATCATGGTGGATAAGCTTTTTGATGTGCTGCTGGATTCGATTTGCCAGTATTTTATTGAGGATTTTTGCATCGATGTTCATCAGGGATATTGGCCTGAAATTTTCCTTTTTTGTTGTGTCTCTGCCAGGTTTTGGTATCAGGATGATGCTGGCCTCACAAAATGACTTAGGGAGGAGTCCCTCTTTTTCTATTGCTTGGAATAGTTTCCAGAAGGAATAGTGCCTGCTCCTCCTTGTACCTCTGGTAGAATTAGGCTGTGAATCCATCTGGTCCTGGACTTTTTTTGGTTGGTAGGCTATTAATTACTGCCTCAATTACAGAACTTGTTATTGGTCTATTCAAGGATTCAACTTCTTCCTCATTTAGACTTGGGAGGGTGTATATGGCCAGGAATTTATCCATTTCTTCTAGATTTTCTAGTTTATTTGCATAGAGATGTTTATAGTGTTCTCTGATAGCAGTTTGTGTTTCTGTGGGAATAAACCTTTCAAAAAAGAATCAATAAACTGGAGCAATTATCTTTTTTCTCCATACGGATGTGTACACTTACAACATGTGGCGCTTTCTCTGATTTAACCAGATTGTATTCTTGATTCACTCCTCCCTCCTTGTATGGCTCCAGTAGCTGTCCTCTGCTTCTTTTTGCTAGCACATTGTTGGACCCTCTCCATCTCTATTCCTAGAGGACATCAAATCATAAAGGGGTGACCACAAAGTAATGGGGCACACAAGTGGAACACTTACCATTTCATAAGGAATGTTTCTACGAAGATATAACATTTAACCTCTATTGAGAGAAAACAGGAGTTTTCCAGGGCAAGGGAGTAGGGGCAGGGTGGTAAACAGCATTTTGGGAATGGGGATTTCATGTACAAATATGCAGAGAATGACACAGCCAAATATATTGTAAACATAAAACAGGTAGAAGACACAAAGTTGGCAAGTGTAATAAAAAATGATATCCAAAAAGTTTTTTGACTCTATTTACAGAGTGCCATTCAGAAGTTAACTGATCAATAAAAAGGGTATCTGATTCACTCTGTTTTCAAGAGACAGGCTTTCCAAAAACACTGAGAATAGACTGAAGAGAAGATACAGTGGAGGACAAAAGACCAGCAAATTGCACCAGGTTCAAACAGCAGCATTTTAAATAAACACATTTTAAATATTCAAAGTTTAATTTTGAGCAAGAGCTCCAGTAGTTAAAAGAGAGGATCAGAATGACATCATCAAGGTATCAAAATATTATTTTTGCTTTTCATAATTAATTCATGTATTTAATACTCCATTCAAATTCATTGCTTCATTTAAGTATTTACTGTGTAGTAAGCACTGTGCACTGTTCAGGCTATTGAGGACATAATGGTGAGCAAAACAGATAAAACTACCCCACCCTCATGGAGATTATATTTTGGTATGCAAAGCAAATGCTCCAAAAGGATATCCAAACTGCCAGATTAAAACAAAGAGCTAGGAAACACACAGGGAGCAAGTCAAGAGCTTTTATCAGACAAACAACAATTTTTTATACTTTAAAAAATTCAGTTATTTCTCTCTTTTGGTAACCAAATAAACTCAAAGACTTGGGTGGGACAAATATTATTATGACCCCTACCCCCTTTTAGATTTTGAAGCAAAACATCAGAATATGTAAGTAATTTTCCCACATTGATAAATGTCAGTAGAGAGGTAAGCTTCACCCCTGGACACGCTGATGCAGAAACATCTCATGCCTTTCCCATAAGTCATCTCTAAGCATGAGAAACAACAAGGACTAAAGGGAGGGAAAGATGTAGCTTCAGTTGCTGCTTAAAACAATGAACAATAGATAGAAACATGTTAAGAATAACCTGCACTTAATGACAATGTTTGTGGTACTGACGTAAGGGAAGATCTTTGCAGCTTTCTGGAAATGGTCAAAAATGTGCTCAGTTTCAGGGATGTACTAACATTTCTGCTGCAAAGAGACTAAAGTGTAATAATTCATGGAATATTAAATTAGAGACATTTTCTTAACCTGATGAATGAGCCTTAGTTTCTTTGGGACCAGAACATTGTCGTAGATACATAAGAAGCCCAACAGTAAAGAGGAAAATCACAACAGACAAGAAGGAATCACAATCAATGGCAAAAAAAAAAACTCTTCTCTTTGCAGATGCTGGGCCACTGTCAACACTGCCCCCATAGCCTCTGTGCTGGCAGTAGGGCGGGGACCACCCCTAGCCACAGTGGCAGTGATGTTTGTTATTGCAGATCTCCTTCATATTGCAGGTCTCAGGAAGGCAGATGTGTGACAAGACAGACAGACTGACACTTCTTGTGGATGCAGATCTTTCCTGGGCCACACACAGTACCATCTTTCACTGCACCAATGTCAGATATGTGCATCCTTAAATGATAGTCAATACCCCAGCAGGTGACACCATTGATATGAGTGTGCTGCAAAGTAAAATGATCTTGGAGAAGAGGAATGTCTCTCACATTCTCACATTGAACTCTCCCACAAAAGACATCAGAGATATGACATTTTAGGTATGTTGTGCCATTTATACCACAGTGACCAAAACGGTTTCCCTGAGAGTTGATTTCTTTATAGCAATTCTGAGATGCACTTTTTGCATCTTTACCAAAAATCTCCCTGCAATGCTGGTCATGGTTATTACACCTCTTTTGATAGCAGTAGGAACTGTCACTACAGGGGATCCCGTCCTGCACATATCTATCTTCTGGACACTGAAGGGATGTTCCATTGCACCATTCTGGAAGGTCACATTCATTGACCTCTTGTCTACAGAGTTCCCCTGATGGCATGAATTTGCAGTCTTTGCAACAAAGCCCAAAAGCACAGGGAGCCCCAGGCCTTAGAGTGCAGTTCAATGGACAACAGGCATCTTGTTCACACTGCTGTACGGATCCACAGTCACACTGCTCTTCTCTTTCAACCACACCATTCCCACAGCGCTTTAGCATAAAGATTTCCCCCAATCTTGGAGGATTTTGCAGACATGATCCCTGGTTTAAGGTGGTCTTCATAAAATCAGCGTAACTGCAATTGGTGAATTTCTCTGCTGGCACTCTAAAAGTATTCATGATGCAACCTCTTTCCCCACAAAAACAGAATTCTTCATCATGCTGCATACCCAACGTATGACCTAACTCATGGGCCACAGTGTTGGCAAAAAGAGACCAGGTATCTCCTTGAAAATTATCAACTCCACAATCAATAGGTGGACGACATATTCCTGCAATGTAGGCTAGGCCAAGTATACTTATAAGTGAATTTTTTATGAACGTATGTGCAGCACCATGTTGTAGCTGGGAACGACTGATTTGTTTCCGTTGAGAGAAATCATTTAGGATCTGTTCTATGCTTGTCATTGGGAAAACATTTCCTTGATTCCAAATTTCAATTCCAATCAAAATTATGTAAGTACCTAACTGCTGATACATGGAATCCACTATGTTGACAACAAGAAATACATCCTCTTGCACCTTTGAGATGTTGCTTTGAGAGTAAATGAAGAAATCATGGTTCACCACAACAACGAGCTCCAGAAACCATGCATGAGTCCACCAGTCACCAGCAAATTTTGGTTCCAGAGCTGAGTTCTCAGCCTCTTCAAATTCCAACTGTTGGCGTGCTACTTCCTTCTCTGTTAAGCTACATCTCATAGCTGGGAATTGTGTCTCATTACTGTTTACTTTGTAAACCAGGTGTTCAAATGTGGCAGAGTGCCTGATGGGTTCAATTTCATGAGTGAGGCCGTTTATTTTTAATACTCCTCAAAAGCCCCCACAACAAGCACTGAACACAACCAGAGACTCAGGGGCACCCTCCACGTAACCATGATAGTAACAGTCATCTGGGATGAAGAGCTGATCCTCCAGGAGTGCACGCTCATCTGTGTAGGTGAACACTGGGAGGTGTCTAGAAACCAAGAGCTTCTTAACCCTCATATGAACAACATGTTTCTGGTCCCCAAACCGCAGACTATAGGAGAGCCATCCAGGAGCCTTTGCACTTCTGCCCCTGCTGATCACCTTCAAGGGGATCACCACTTCCAGGGAAGTGAAATGCTGGGAGGGCCCAGCCTGACAGTAGCCAGAAATAGACAAAAATACCCCAAGCCAGAGCAGCAGAAGAGTGACCCTGATGTACACTAGGGTCCCATCCACTGCCATTATGAAGCTGTCGTTATGGAGCCATCTGTCCAGAGCAGAAGAGGACAAGGTGTGAGGCACTGCTGGTCTGGCTTCTCCCTCTAAGCTGCTCAGGATGCAGGGCTGACCCTACGGATCTGTGTCCTGGCAGAGCAATGTTGGAAGTAAAAATAAAAAGATGGGTTGGAAAGGTGATAAGTAAGGAAATCAGGAGAGAAAAAGAATGGAGTGGTGAAAAACTGGTTGATGAATCAAGAAAATGCTTTGGATTTGCTTTTAGTAAATGAGGGTGGGGATTTAGGGGGTATAGAGGAGACAACATTGGCCACGTGGTGATAATAGTTGAAGTTGGAAGATGGGTACTTAAATAGTTATCTCAGTCTTTACAGGCAGTATGAAAATGTCCATAATAAATAGTAAAAGCAAAAGTAAAGAAACTTAAAAGTAGGGTGGCTCTATATCTCAATTTGTCCAAGATAGTATTAGTTTATGCCTGTTGCCCTTGCAATATCTATTGATAGTGTCTCCTTTGACTATCAAAACTGGAGACATCAAAAATAATCAAAATTCTGTGTCAAGTTGCATCAGTCTTATGATTTACTTTAGTTTCTTTATCTCAAAGTTATTTACTATTCCACATTGTATTCATCTTTACTTACAACTTTATTAGACTGCAAGATTCTTGACGGCATGGTTTATGATTTTCATTTATTTTAGTATCCTCTATAATGTCTTGTATAGTTCTGCTTACAATGAAAAATGAAAATGGGAGGAAGGGTGGTGAAGTGTTTTGCATTATAAATTAATGCTACTAAAATGTATTCATATTGTATTATAATTTTTAGAAAAGAAAAATAATTCTTGAAACACTGACATCCTTTAAGGGTATGGAGAACATAATGTTTTTCTCCCCAGTTACTGACAGGAGAGTCCCAAAGACAAAAGGAAAAGCTTTCAGAAGAGAAAATGAGAATCTGTGCAGTTTAAAGGTCTTCGGAAAAGGAACTCTTGTCTTATTAGGGCAAAACCATTGGAGAGTCTGGTATTTTAGGATCGCCAGGGAAGAGTCCCAATGTTTGCTCAAATATATTTACCAACAGTTTTTGAAAGTGGGGAATTTCTGCACCTGTCATACAATCTGGCTGGCAACGCTCATCCATTTCTTTTTCTATTTATTAAACAAGTCTTTATGTGTTTGGAGCATACATAGTGCAGGACATTGTGCTAGATATTAGAGAAAGAAAATCAAAATACAGAGCATTAAATAAATTATCAATTTAGTGCAGAAACTTGTGGCAGGAGCAAGAATAAGCTTTAGGAGGCCTATAATATTGTATTCAATATTTTATATATTTTGTGCCTTTTTTTTTTGCCGAGGAGAGAGTCCATATATTTCATCATAGTCTGAAATGACTGTCAAAAGTGAGGCTAATAAGCACTGAGCATGTGTAGAAACAAACAAACAGGTAATTGTAATATGATCAAAACCAGATTAATCTGAAGATAACAAAGTTTATGCTTCAGGGATCCTCATTGTACAGACCTCCATAAAGACCCTGAAAGGGGCTCCGCAATGGACTTTAAGAAACTCCTCAAATTATGAGTGATCAAAATTAGTCACTATACAAGAAAAATCAGAAATATTATAACTGAAAAACTCTGAAATATTATAATTCATACATAAAAGACTTAATAAAGGCTTTCTAAAATTTGACAATAGTAAATTTAATTATTTATCTCATTACCAATAACAAGCTATGAAGCTGAATTTTCTTTTCTAAACCATTAATAATACAAAACAAATTTTTATTAAACATACCAGGGAAAGGCAAATGCCTTTCAGTTCTTGCCACAGAAATTATAACAAAATAATTCTCTTAAGGGAGACAATTAAATAAGAAGCAATTTAAAAACTGTAGGGAAAAGGTATCATAAAAGTGAGTCAGGAAGTTGATTAATATAAATATGAAGGGATTAAATTTTTTGATGTTTATGGTGTTTTCAACCTTTTAATATTTATAATTTGTTGCAGCTTCTTTCTTATGCTAAATAAATCCTCATTTTCATACTTATTTTCTGCAATTGTAACTTGGTATTATTTTTCTTAAAGTGGGGCCCTCATCTTGTACGTGCATCAGGCCCAAAAACTTAATTTCACCTCTGACTGTGATCAACATATTGATGAAGGTAGGTGCCGTTTTTTATAAGAACAAAAAGGAAAAGCATTTAAATCAAGCTAATCTAAGAGGACTTACACAGAAGATATAAAAATGAACATGCCTGACCCAACACTAATCATCTCCTGGATTTTGAATCCATTTCTAATCAATGCTTTCTTTGCCCTGAGTCAAGTTTCCTTATACTCTCTTCTTATACCTTCTCTTGTGCTTTCTGGAGTCTTCCTTTAAACACAAAAGGGAAGAGACAGAGAGAGAGAGAGAGAGAGAACCAACTCCACCCTGAACCTCTTCCCAGAAAGCTCCCTACGTCTACTTATCTTATTAAACCTGAGCTTTAATAGAATTTACTGCTTGCCTAAAGGCCTCCTCTTGAGAAACCCCATCCTCAGAAGTCACATGCACCACAAGGACCAGAGTTCCTGTTCTCCACAGCCGACAACATCAACACCAAATCATTTATCCTGCAATATCTGACTACACTATTTTTTAGATGTCTCTTCAACCACCCTTATCACACTTGGACAAAATTCAAAGGCTTTGGACCCTGACTAATAAAATTATTCTCCACCAAAAATTCTACCCTCATCTTAAAGTAATATTAGCAAGTATATAGAAAACCCATCTGAAAACAAGACAGGGTTTTTTCAAGTTTTTTTTTAAACCTCTTCAATTTGTCTTAGTGTAATTCAGCCTACCCACTCATAGTCAAAATCTATACCTTGTCAACGCACAAAAAATTTCATATATCCTAAGCAATTTACCAACAATTTTAGTTCTCCCAGCTCTCCCCCTTACTTCTGCTATACCTATTTCTCAAACCCGAAGAGAACCCACTTTTGTCTTTCATTGTCTCCCATTTCACTCAATGTTCTTGTCTTCCAATCCATTCGAGCTCTGCTACTAGTTTCATCCCTTCAAGCACTGTATGCCAAAATCTTTAACTCTCTAAAGTCCTAATTATAACACAGATTGTGGGGGGTGGGGGTGGGGGATGGGCAGGAACTGCATTAATCCTTCACATGCTTTTTCCACTTCTACATCAAAGCTACCAATGCTACTCTGAAAAAAAAAAAAATCACAAACCAATGTGTTTGTGAAAGGTTTAAAAAGAGAATATACAAATCAGAACTGAAATGGCTTGTCCTGGATCCCCAGCCTAAGGAATAGAGATATAAAATTCAACAGATATGTCAAAACTTCCTATGCCATATTGCCCTTTTCTTTATTCTCCTGGGCATTGCATTCCTCGTTTATGTATCGTGTTCTGAGTTTCCTCAATGTTCTGAGTTTTCCTCATTTATGTATAGTGCCAGTAGCTGAAAATCCATTCTCATTGTCTTTCAATCACAGTAGAGTTAGTTAAACAAGTACCTTTCCTTTCTAATAAAAAGTATTTAAGGTTTTTTTCTTTTCTTGTCCTAGACTGGCTATGTGGATGCTGGAAGATGGGGAAAACTTGTTTCAAGCTGAACATTATCCTTGCCATTAGCTTGCCTAAAGAGGCTGGATTCATCTGGGCAGTTTTCACTGCTGCAAGTTAGGCACCTTATTTCGCAAGGTGCAAGTAGCGTGGAAGAGAAAAGCAAAGTTCATAGACAGAACTTCCAAGAACAAAGATCTCTGAATTGGGATGAAATTCTAACTGCCAGATTTGCTCCCTGTGTCTCTCTTGATATGTTTTCTACTTATTATGGAGTGACAGTTGTTGTGGATGGGAGGATTGAAAATGGGAAGAACTAATCAAAGATATAATGTTGTGGAAAGGACTGATAAGCTACACAAACCTGTGTCATATTATTCTTTTTCTTGGAGCTCAGCATGAGAGCAGGCAATAACAGGAGAATAACTTCAAAAAAATCTTTAAAACCAGACTCATTGTCTTCATTCCTAGGACTTACAGAGACCAAAGCTCCTGAAGTACCATCATTCTACCATGGATACTGTGAAGTGGTACCACCGTAAATCTATGTCCTCTAACGTCAGTGGACTGTCAAGTGAGCCAACAGTCCTCTTCTGCATGTTTGATAAACTCTTACTTTCCCCACAGCTATTTCGAATTCATCAAGACCCCTCTCTACCCATCTTCCCTCTTATTCCAATGCCCTAATGCATTGTTTTCCTATCTGTCTGTCACTAATACCTGACCCAGTAGAGAGTCATGGAAGTAATTCAGCTGGTTACAGCCTGCAGTTTTTGGGTTTTTTTAATTTTTTTTTTTTTGAGACGGAGTCTTGCTCTGTCGCCCAGGCTGGAGTGCAGTGGCGATCCTGGCTCACTGCAAGCTGGGCCTCCGGGGTTCACGCAATTCTCCTGCCTCAGCCACCTGAGTAGCTGGGACTACAGGTGCCCGCCACCATGCCCGGCTAATTTTTTTTTTTCAGCAGAGACGGGGTTTCACTGTGTTAGCCAGGATGATCTCGATCTCCTGACCTTGTGATCTGCCCGCCTCGGCCTACCAAAGTGCTGGGATTACAGGCATGAGCCACTGTGCCCGGCCGCCTGCAGTTTTTTTCCTTAAGGAAATAGAAGAGAAATATCAGAAGGCATCCCTAGAAGATTCTTAGCAACTCTTGCACACACAGTGCCAAAAATTGGGGTGTAAGTACGTTTAAGGCCACAATGTCACAATATAAAATGGATTTCTTTCTCTGGAATTTATATATATATATTCCAAATTCAAAGACAAAATGGTTTCTGGGCCTTTCACCATCTGAAACCACCTATATTTGCCTCTTCTTTACCTCACTCCCTCTCCAGTCTCAGTGGAAATGTGATCCTCCCCGATTCAGGTAGTAGCCCCTCATGGTTCCAGTCATCTCTCCCACATACTTGAGGACTGTTTCTATCAATTTTCCCCACACTCAACTGTATCTTCATCTTCTACTACTTTACCTATTCCTTACTGGCAATTGGGGTAACCACCTCATTCTGATTTTCCCAGGACTGTCCTGGTTTTAAAACTAAAAGTCCTGCACCCAGCAATCCCCTCAGTCCCAATCAAACTGAAACGAAACTTGATGAATGACTTACCATCAGAAGAAACAGTAGTTTCCATGGCCCTTTCCGTCTAGATGGTTTGTACCACCCTTTATCAATGAACAAAGGTGTGTAGCTGTGACCACAGAACAAAGAGAAACGTAAGCCCTTCCCCCTTTTGTCTCTCAGGTGACTAAATTGTAGATTTAGCTGCTTAGCAACGAGGATCTTTATCTTCTTAGAGAAATAATAATAGGCTCTCAAGAATATCTCGCTCTTATCTGACCATTTCTATACTTATTTCCAAATTCCATATGATTGGAATTGGGTTGTCTCCTCACCTCCAGTCTATGTCCCCTGACAGCATAGGTTTGTAATTTTGCTGGTGCCATTGCATTGGTCTAGACTGTCTAATCACTTTTCCCACTGAACTGAATTATAGTAACTTTCTAGGGCAAGATCAAATTCCACTTCCATTATCAAATCTTTCCTAAATAATCCAGAAAACATAAACATCCTATAACTCTCTTATAACTATAACATGCAACACATTTTTGTGTGACAAAATTTATGTCCTTGCTATTTTCTGTTTTATATGTGAGCTTTAGATGCTGGAGAGGATGTAGAGAAATAGGAACACTTTTACACTGTTGGTGGGAGTGTAAATTAGTTCAATCATTGTGGAAGACAGTGTGGTAACTCCTCAAGGACCTAGAAGCAGAAATACCATCTGACCCAGCAATCCAACTACTGGGTATATACCCAAAGGATTATAAATAATTCTACTATAAAGACACATACACACGGATGTTTATTGCAGCACTGTTCACAATAGCAAAGACTTGTAACCAACCCAAATGCCCATCAATGATAGACTGAATAAAGAAAATGTGGCACATATACACCATGGAATACTATGCAGCCATAAAAAAGGATGAGTTCATGTCCTTTGCAGGGACTCGGATGAAGCTGGAAACCATCGTTCTCAGCAAACTAACACAAGAACAGAAAAACAAACACTGCATGTTCTCACTCATAAGTGGGAGTTGAACAATGAGAACACATGGACACAGGAAGGGGAACGTCATACAACAGGACCTGTCAGGGGGTTGGGGGCTAGGGGAGGGATAGCATTAGGAGAAATACCTAACGTAGATGATGGGTTGATGGGTGCAGCAAACCACCATGGCACATGTATACCCATGTAACAAACCTGCACATTCTGCACATGTATCTCAGAACTTAAAGTATAATAATAAAATAAAATTTAAAAAATAAATAAAAATAAAAAATAAAAAACAATTGTAGCACAATGATTATAAAGACAAAGAAATAAAACTTGAGTTACTTCAATTCTGTCATTCTTTGTGATAAAATTTTTATTCGTGTTTAGAATTTTAGATTATAGACATATTTCAAAACTGGTAGAGTTGATACCGAAAAAATAAAGACATGGACAGTTTGAAATTTTTCATTTTTATTGTGAAATTAGATTCTTATGAATGTCTGCTTATCCTTTGTTTAAAGCTTTTCTTAACCGTTTTATTATCTTCAATCTTCATGTTAGCAAAACTTTTTAAGTTAAAATAAATAAAAAATTAATGGATAAATTATTTTCCTGCGAGCGCTCCTTCAAGCACAGGTATGTGAAGATCAATTTTGTTGAAGTCATGGACAAATTTGTGGAAGTTAAAACTCAAGAACAGAAACTGTAATGTTGTGATTTATTTATATGATAGGCCAATATAGAGAGGTGACAGCATGCTGGCAGCCTCACAGCCCTTGCTCTCGGTGCTTCCTCGGCCTTGGCGCCCACTCTGCCCACGCTTGAGGAGCCCTTCAGCCCACCACTGCACTGTGGTAGCCCCCTTCTGGGCTGGCCAAGGCCGGAGCCGGCTCGCTCAGCTTGCGGGGAGGTGTGGAGGGAGAGGCGCGGGCAGGAACCGGGGCTGTGCGCGGCGTTTGCCGGCCAGTGCGAGTTCCGGGTAGGCGTGGGCTCGGCAGGCCCCGCTGGCGGCCGGCCAGCCCACAAGCCCAGGGCAGTGAGGAGCTTAGCACCTGGGCCAGCAGCTGCTGTGCTCGATTTCTCACCGGGCCTTAGCTGCCTCTCCACGAGCAGGGTTTGGGACGGGCAGCTAGCCATGCCTGGCCGCCCGCCGCCCGCCGCCCGCCGCCCGCCGCCCGCCGCCCGCCGCCCGCCGCCCGCCGCCCGCCGCCCGCCGCCCGCCATGCCTGAGCTCCCGCCCCCTGCCCGCCCGCCATGCCTGAGCCCCCACCCCCTCCCCGCCCGCCATGCCTGAGCCCCCACCCCCTCCCCGCCACCCCCAGCCCACTGCTGTGGACTCCTGCGCCGCCCGAGCCTCCTCGACGAGCACCGCCCCCTGCTCCAGGGCGCCCAGTCCCATAGACCGCCCGAAGGCTGAGGACTGCTGGCGCATGGCGCGGGACTGGCAGGCAGCTCCACCTGCGGCCCCTGTGCGGGATCCACTGCGTGAAGCCAGCTGGGCTCCTGAGTATGGTGGGGACTTGAAGTATCTTTATGTCTAGGTAAGGGATTGTAAATACACCAGTCAGCACTCTGTATCTAGCTCAAGTTTTGTAAACACACCAATCAGCACCCTGTGTCTAGCTCAGGGTTTGTGAATGCACCAATGGACACTGCATCTAGCTAATCTAGTGGGGAGGTGGAGAACTTTTGTGTCTAGCTCAGGGATTGTAAAGCACCAATCAGCACCCTGTTAAAACAGACCAATCAGCTCTCTGTAAAATGGACCAATCAGCAGGATGTGGGTGGGACCAGATAAGAGAATAAAAGCAGGCTGCCTGAGCTGGCGGTGGCAATGCTTCCCTGTCTCCTTCTGTACTGTGGAAGCTTTGCTCTTTTACTCTGCAATAAATCTTGCTGCTGCTAACTGTTTGGGTCCACGCTACCTCTATAAGCTGTAACACTCACCATAAAGGTCTTACAGCTTCATTCCTGAAGCCAGTGAGACCACGAACCCAGCAGGAGGAACGAACAACTCCAGACGCGCTGCCTTAAGAGCTGTTAACACTCACCGCAAGGTCTGCAGCTTCACTCCTGAAGCCAGAGAGACCACGAACCCAGCAGGAGGAATGAACAACTCCAGATGCGCCGCCTTAAGAGCTGTAACGCTCACCGCGAAGGTCTGCAGCCTCACTCCTGAGCCAGCGAGACCACGAACCCACCAGAAGGAAGAAACTCCGAACACATCCGAACCTCGGAAGGAAGAAACTCCAAACACATCCAAACATCAGAAGGAACAAACTCTGCACACACCGCCTTTAAGAACTGTAACACTCACCACCAGGGTTCGCGGCTTCATTCTTGAAGTCAGTGAGACCAAGAAGCCACCAATTCCGGACACAATATGAAGTAAGTTTTCCTATGTCTTTTAAAAATATATATTAATATATTTAATAAGAATTTATTACCTTTTCACTACCCTATTTGGTACTATTCTTATTCATTTTACTTTTTATTTTTAAAAACTTTTGCAGTGGTATGATTGTATATGGAAAGGTCAATGAAAAAAATTCACTCTTCCTAATCTGAAATGGCATGTTTATTTTCATTTATTTATTTTTACTGACATGACCATATAAGGGTTAGTGAAAGAAAATGTTCACTACTTAAAGTTTCCTGGCCATTAATTATTTGTTTCATTTCATGATTATTCCTCAAAATAACTTTGTCAGGTAGAGGAAGAAAAGTTAAAACATAATCCGCTCTGTCAAACACACGAGATAGAACACTAAGGCTTGATCCAAAAATATGTGGAGCCTATTTCCAAGGCAGTTCAGTTAACTTTTTCCACTCAGCCATGTGGGTTCCCACCTCACCCTCCTCTCTTCTTGCTGCTCAGTCTTTCCATTGTCCTCCTCACTGCCTCACCCAGCTCCTAAGTGCCGTTTTAATATGATGGATCCCATGATAGTAAAAGTGACTCTGGGGTGAATTCATCAGAAAGGGTTGCACTGGAAACTGAATGAAGGACTCTGCATCACAAACCAGGGGACCTGGAAAGAACAGAAGAGGATGCTTTGTCAGGTGGTCACCTTTCATAGTAGAGTGCTGGGCTCAATTTCCTGTTGGGAGGACTCTGAATGGGTCTGACCTAGATGTTTCCACAAACTTTTCACAAGGGCAGCCCTGTGAGGCGGAAAGAGAAGAGAGAGCCAGGAGGATTATGAGGTGGGAGAAGAAAAGAAAGCTTGAACAAAATGCGCCATAAGAAAAGGAAGTGCCTTTTCAAAAATGCAATGAGACAAATTCCTCTTTTGCGAATGCTTTCTCATCCTGGGGGGTTAAGACGGGGTGATGGGGTGCTATATATCCAAATTGGAGCAAAATGACTCAGAAAAAGTAAGTGTTTCTGGATCAAGGATACTCATGGAAATTCAAAAAAAGAAAGGCAATAAATATGTCAATAAAGTATTCAAAATCACTACAATTTTAGAAATATATAAGTCAAATTGACGAAGATTGAAAATAAACTATCAAGTGTTCACATCATAGATAAGCACCTAAGTGTTTTAATTAGATATATAATAGTATACCCTTTGAGCGGAATTTTATCCAGTAATTTAAAATTTCTATGTTATCAAACATTTCAGGACGTAGAAAATAGATTCAAGTAAAAAAAACTACTAAACATTACGTTATCCCTTATGCTTACCAAAGTGACTGGAAAGATGTATTTTGAAGTAGAAAGAAAATCTCTATCCTCTTCTTTCACTCTCCCTTCTCGCTCTTCCCCCCACCCCCATACATTTCAATCCCAAGGAGGAGCGTCTATGTTTTGTCAACTTCTGGAATACTGTCTGGGCTACCGTTGGCAGTCATTGCGTATTAGAAAGGCATATTGTAACTACCCCTCTTGCTTCCTATCGTCCCCATGTGGTAGGATTGGCAAACTGAATCCAGGCCCACTTGGACTAAACACTTACTGGTTCACTTAATCTCTCCTTTGTGCTCATAATTGGTTAGGCCTCCTATACCCTGTCGTGAGTCAGAGAATGGACGATCCCAAGAAATGGAATTAGGCCTGGGGAGAGGTGGAGACTCTACTAAGTTTCTAGGCAACAGGTGCCTTGGCTACCCCTCAGGTATTTAAGGTCCAAGCTGTCTAAATCACAAAGGGAGGGGAGGACATCTATAAATCCAACCAATTGGCCGGGCACGGTGACTCAAGCCTGTAATTCCAGCACTTAGGGAGGCTGAGGCACGCGGATCACGAGGTCAGTAGATAGAGACCATCCTGGCCAACATGGTGAAACCCCGTCTCTACTAAAAATACAAAAATTAGCTGGGTGTGGCCGTGCGCGCCTGTAGTCCCAGCTACTCGGGAAGCTGAGGCAGGAGGATGGCGTGAACCCGGGAGGCCGAGCTTGTAGTGAGCCGAGATCGTGCCACTGTACTCCAGCCTGGGTGACAGAAAAAGACTGTCAAAAATGATAATAAATATATATATATATAAATAAAATCCAATCAACTGCTTCAAGGTAGGAAATAAAAGTTCAAGCCCTGGAGGCTTTTAGGGTGAGGAGACATTTTCTACTGAATCCTTTTGTAGCTAGACTTTGTTCAAAGGGCAATGAAAAATGATAGTTAAAAAAAAACTTTTTGTTTATCCTGGACCTATTTTTTCTTATTTTGATCCGAGCACCATGGCTTCTTCCACTCAGGTTTTTGCCTTGTATAAAGCTAAACCCTTTCCTGGCTTAGCAGTTGTCATATGGCATAAGCCCATCTGATAGGAGCACTGCATTCCTCCGTCCATAGTATTTTATTAAGAGAAAAACATGCACACAAAGAGAAGATGTTTCCTTGGAACTGTGTACCATGTGAGAAACACCGACACAAACTGCAATGCTAAAGTCTGTAAAATCTGTGCAAGTAAAAATCACCTATAGAGACGCCACTGAGGGCCGGGCAGTGTCTCAAGCCTGTAATCCCAGCACTTTGGGAGGCCGAGGTGGGTGGATCACCTGAGGTCAGGAGTTTATGACCAGCCTGGCAAACATGGAGAAATCCCGTCTCTACTAAAAATACAAAAACTAGCCGGGTGTGGTGGCGCGTGCCTGTAATCCCAGCTGCTCCGGAGGCTGAGGCAAGAAAATCACTTGAATCTGGGAGGCGGAGGTTGCAGTGAGTCGGGATCGTGCCACTGCACTCCAGCCTGGGTGACAGAGCAAGACTGTGTCGCAAAAGAAGAACGAAAAAGAAGCCACTTAAAATAAGAGGTTGAGGACACTTGTGGAATAGGAAGTAGGAATATGAATAGATCAATATATAGTACATAATAAGAGATGTCATAATATTAATACTAATATTGCTAATAGTAAAATAAACATTCTTAAAGTGTATTGGGCTTTGGATACTAAAATTTGATCACTGTCAGAAGACTGGTTACAGGTCAAACTAGTGGTGTTTTTCTGACTTCTCTTGAGTGGAGAAGGCTTTTCTAGGGCACAGGTCAGGTGGCTAATAACAGAGTAGGATGATTGGTGCAGGATCTGCTCAAGTGGAATGCTTAGTTTTGAATGTAAAAAGCAGAAACATCAATGATGTCAGCAAAGGCAAATTCTAGGAAGTATCAAAATATGAAAACTCAGAAAGCTACATTTGTGTTCAACTCTGGTCAATTTTTGGTTTATAATGAAAAAGACAAAGGTCAGACTCTTGAGTACAATCTAGATTCAAGTGGGGGCAAAAACAAGGAAATGGACAAAGTAATAGAGGGTCAAGGTAATTGCTTAGAACAGGAAATGCTAGAGATTCTTCTTAAAGGATCAAAGCCAGATCTATTCCTGGATAGATCAGTGTAGTTTAAAGCTCTGTGAAACAAACACCAGCTCTCTAATGGTCTTTCTAGTGTAGTTGTTTAAAAATAACAGAATAAATGATAAGAAAAAACAAAATTTGGAAAACTGGACTTCCATATTTGGCACTATGGCAGACAACATGTCCAGTTCCTAGCTCACGCAGCAAAATAATTCAAAATTCTACATGAATTTTTTTCACCCTCCCAATATTTTAATTCAATTTTAATATAAAATATTGGGAGGGTGAAAAAAATTATGTGCTATGATAAGGTAAGGGAAATTCTCGAAGACCAAAAATGGAATAAAAGCAGGAACCCAGAAAGGAAAGCGACCCTGAAGTTGGTACCTTCTCTGAGGCATCTGTCCCTCCCTGGTGAAATTGAGCTTATATTTTGATGGCTGCATAAAATGATGGGAACAGTAGGCAATGTCTCAGCTTTGCCAAGGAGGAGATGTTGTTAGGAGAGCCATAGGACAAAAACAGGGTAAATGAAAAGAAAATATAACCTACAGATGAAGATAACAAGGAAAACCACCTTTTACCTTTGATGGTGGGAGAAGAGGAGACAAATTGCCTGTGTTTCCCTACACGTATAAGCTAGACTTTGTGCCATTTAGGGGAATAAATTGATACCACTTATATGGCACCAAAAACTTTGAGCAATATCTATTTTGAAGGGATATTGAGTTGTGATATTTTCAAAGCATGGACGTAAAAACATGCAAACTCTCTCTGGAAAAATACATTTTCAACTTAGGCCTCATAAAATTCCCACGAGTTTTTGAATATTACAAAATACAGAAGGAAACAAAGTCCCATTGATAAGTCAACAATAAAAACAATAGCAGAATGAAACTTACAAATAATTCTGCTGCCCCTATTATCAGATAGAATATTATAAAAATATGTTTTATAATTTCAACAAGAGAGTATTGGAGGTTATTAGTAACAAACAATAACAATGGCTAGACAGTTTTTTTGAAAATCAAATAGAACTTGAATTGTACATATATAATCAATGTGTACATTTAAATAATATATAAATATATATACATTCAATATACATAGAAACAAAAAATGAAAATGTGTAATGGCAGATTATATACAACTAAAAACAAAATTAGTAAACTGACACATAGTTCTTCTTTTTTTCTTGAGACGGAGTCTCACGCTGTCGCCCAGGCTGAAGTGCATTGGCATGATCTCAGCTCACTGCAACCTCTGCCTCTCGGGTTCAAACGATTCTCATGCCTCAGCCTCCCGAGTAGCTGGGATTACAGTTGTGTGCCACCATGCCCAGCTAGTTTTTGTATTTTTAGTAGAGATGGGGTTTCATCATGTTGGCCAGGCTGGTCTCAAACTCCTGACCTCAAGTGATCCACTCGCCTTGGTCTCCCAAAGTGCTGAGATTACAGGTATGAGCCACCATGCCCGGCCCTGACACATAGTTCTAAGGAAATTATACAGTATAGAGAAAAAGCAGGCAAAGAGATAAATAACGCAAGATAGGTGAAAAATCCCTAGACATTAGAGTAAGATCTATCTTACATCTAATCAAAGTTTCAGCACAGAATTGACAAAGGCAATAATCCTAGATATGAAGTCTGAAAGTTTTCCAGATTGATGAGAGACAAGATCCTACAGATTTAAGGTTTCCAAACCCCAAAATGGATAAATTAAAGATCTTCTATACCCAAACAAATTATAGTGCACTACAGAAAAGCAAAGAAAAGAGGCTCGCAGGAAAGGAAGATTAGATAAATGTTAATTTTACAGCTGAATTCTCAACAACAATGGTACTGTCAAGACAGTAAAATCATACTTTCAAAATCTGAAATGCAAGCCTAGAATTGAGTGCCTAGGAAAATAAACCCTCACTTTAAAAAAGGAAAAGGTGGTGAAATAAAACCTTTTCAGACAAACAAAAATAAACAATTTACTACCAACAGACTATCAGTGAAAGGATTCTAAAGGGTATATTTCACACACACACAAAATTAAACCCATTATGATGTAATATTGGAGAAGGAAGAAAGTAGTAAACATGGCCTGGTGCAGTGGCTCATGCCTGTAATCTCAGCACTTTGGGAGGCTGAGGTGGGTGGATCACTTGAGGTCAGGAGTTCAAGACCAGCCTGGCCAACATGGTGAAACCCTGTCTTTACTAAAAATACAAAAATTAGCTGGGCATGGTGGCAGGCACCTGTAATCCCACCTACTTGGGAGGCCGAGGCAGGAGAATTGCTTGAACCCGGTAGGCGGAGGTTGCAGTGAGCCAAGGTCGCACCACTGCACTCCAGCCTGGGTAACAGAGTGAGACTCTGTCTCAAAAAAAAAAAAAAAAAGAAAATGGTAAACACCTGAATCAATCTAAATAAAGATTGGCTGTAGAAGACAATAATATTAATAATATCTAATAGGGGGGTAAAAAATTGGAAAGATAAAACTAATATCCTGAGAAACCTTTATGTAAGTTAGGATAAATCAGAATTAAAATCTTTTAATGTACTTATATTATTTTTAAAGTGGCTAAAGATATTAACGTTGTTGCAGATGTTAACGTTACCCTTCAGTATTTATGGTTCTCTTCTCCTTTGGGGCATGCAGGGTTCTGGACCTCCTTGCCTACTTGGAAGTTAGCCTTGCCTAAAAACTAGCTTTGATCTGAAAGTGTCACTTGCCAGAGAGTATTTTAAGACCTAGTTTGAGTAACCATTCTCTTTCACTGCCACATTTACCAGAGCCTGGCACTATTCCTGTTGAACCTTCATAGCCTGTAATCCGGAGTGAAATCTTGGGTGAAATCTAATTCCTTCTGAAAACTCAGAGTTATTTGTGTGACAGTATGACTTGCCTTATCCCAACAGAAACAAGCATTGGTAAGGGAAGCAGTGAAGAAATGCATATTGAAGGTGAGAAAGATGTAATGCCAAAATAACTTGGGAGTCATACTATGTATCCAATAAAGATATATGTAGCTCTAGAGAAACAGAATGGAAAAAAAACTTTACTAGTGAGTGTTAGGAACAAAAAGAGATGTAATTGGAGTTAGAGTTCCATGTGTTCCACCTCAGAATCATGGCGGGAGGAGAAAGGCACTTCTTACATGGTGGCAGCAAGAGAAAAATGAGAAAGAAGCATTGTTGTTGGCTGCATTTGGCCATTTCCAAGTTCTGTAAGGAATTTGTTTGCAAACAGGAATAAAAGCAAATAGAATACAAACTCCATGAGCTTTCAAGAATAGAAAACTAGTTCACCACCCCAAAAAGTAAAAGGTAAATGTAAGAAAATCTTTGAGAAGCAAAGGCCGATTACAACTCAGCCTTAAGGCAGAGGTCAAGCAGTATAGACATTATACCCTTGTGAGAACCACCAGATGGATTAAGGAGGGATCTCAGGGTGAGGATGGTTTGGCTGTGTCCTCATCCAAATCTCAACTTGAATTGTATCTCCCAGAATTCCCACATATTGTAGGAGGGACCCAGGGATAGGTAATTGAATCATGGGATCCAGTCTTTCCTGTGCTATTCTCATGATAGTAATTAAGTCTCACAAGGTCTGGTGGGTTTATCAGGGGTTTCCGTTTTTGCTTCTTCCTCATTTTTCTCTTGCTGCCACCATGTAAGAAGTGCCTTTCCCCTCCTGCCATGGTTCTGAGGTGGAACATGTGGAACTCTAACTCCAATTAAATCTCTTTTTGTTCCCAGTTTCAGTTATGTCTTTACAGCAGTGTGAAAATGGACTAATACAGTAAATTGATACCAGTAGAGTAGGGCATTGCTGAAAAGATACCTGAAAATGTGGAAGCAACTTTGGACCTGGGTAGCAGGCAGAGGTTGGAACAGTTTGGAGGGCTCAGAAGAAGTTAGGAAAATGTGGGAAAGTGTGGAACTCCCTAGAAACTTGTTGAATGGCTTTGCCCAAAATGCTGATAGCAATATGGACAGTAAAGTCCAGACTGAGGTGGTCTCAGATGGAGATGAGGAACTTGTTGGGAACTGGAGCAAAGGTGACTCCTGTTATGTTTTAGCAAAGAGACTGGCAGCATTTTGCCCCTGCCCTAGAGATTTATGGAACTTTGAACTTGAGAAAGGTGATTTAGGGTATCTGGCAGAAGAAATTTCTCAGCAGCAAAGCATTCAAAAGGTGACTTGGGTGCTGTTAAAGGAATTCAGTTTTATAAGGGAAGCAGAGCATAAAAGTTTGGGAAACTTGCAGCCTGACTACGCACAAGAAAAGAAAAACCCATTTTCTGGGGAGAAATTCAAGCCAGCTGCAGAAATTTGTGCAAGCAGCAAGGAACCTAATGTTAATTCCCACAACCATGGGGAAAATGTCTCCAGGCCATGTCAGAGACCTTCATGGCACCCCCTCCCATCATAGACCCAGAGTCCCAGGAGGAAAAAGTGGTTTTGTGGGCCGAGCCCAGGGTCCCTGTGCTGTGTGCAGCCTAGGGACTTGGTGCCCTGTGTCCCAGCCACTCCAGCCGTGGCTGAAAGGGACCAACGTACAGCTCGGGCTGTGGCTGCAGAGGACAGAAGCCCCAAGTCTTGACAGCTTCCACATGGTGTTGAGCCTGCAGGTGCACAGAAGTCAAGAATTGAGGTTTGGGAACTTCTGCCTAGATTTCAAAAGATGTATGGAAATGCCTGGATACCCAGGCAAAAGTTTGCTGCAGGGGCAGGGCTCTTATGGAGAACCTCTGCTAGGGCAGTCTGGAAGGGAAATGTACGGTTGGAGCCTCCACACAGAGTCCCTACTGGGGCACTCTAGTGGAACTGTGAGAAGAGGGCCACCGTCCTCCAGACCCCAGAATGGTAGATCCACGGACAGCTTGCACTGTGCACCTAGAAAGCTGCAGACACTCAATGTCAGCCCATGAAAGCAGCTGGGAGGAAGGCCGTACCTTGCAAAGCCACAGGAGCAGAGCTGCCCAAGACCATGGGAACCCACCTCTTGCATCAGTGTGACCTGGATGTGAAACATGGAGTCAAAGGAGGTCATTTTGGAGCTTTAAAATTTGACTGCCCCAGGCCAGGCGAGGTGGCTCATGCCTGTAATCCCAGCACTTTGGGAGGCCGAGGCAGGCAGATCATGAGGTCAGGAGATCGAGACCATCCTGGCTACAACGGTGAAACCCCATCTCTACTAAAAATACAAAAAATTAGCCGGCGTCTGTAGTCCCAGCTACTCGGGAGGCTGAAGCAGGAGAATGGCGTGAACCTGGGAGGCTGAGGTTGCAGTGAGCCGAGATCGCGCCACTGCACTCCAACCTGGGCGAAAGTGCGAGACTCCGTCTCAAAAACAAAAAAAGAACAAAACAAAATAAAATTTGACTGCCCCACTGGATTTTAGACTTGCATGGGCCCTATAACCCCTTTGTTTTGGCCAATTTCTCCCATTTGAAATGGTCGTATTTACCCAATACCTGTACCCCCGTTGTATCTAGGAAGTAACTAGCCTGCTTTCGATTTTACAGGCTCATAGGCAGAAGGGACTTTTCTTGTCTTGGATGAGACGTTGGACTGTGGACTTTTGAGTTAATGCTGAAATGAGTTAGGAATTTGGGAGACTGTTAGGAAGGCATGATTGGTTTTAAAATGTGAGGACATGAGATTTGGAGGGGGGCGGGGGCAGAATAATATGGTTTGGTTGTGTCCCCATCGAAATCTCAACTTGAATTCTATCTCTCAGAATCCCACGTGTTGTCCCTTGCTATTCTTGTGATAGTGATTAAGTCTTACAAGATCTGATGGGTTTATCAGGGGTTTCTGCCTTTGCTTCTTCCCCATTTTTGTCTTGCTGCTGGCGCATAAGAAGTACCTTTCACCTCCCACCATGATTCTGAGGCCTCCCCAGCCATGTGGAAATGTAAGTCCAATTAAACCTATTTTTGTTCCCAGTTTCAGATATGTCTTTATCAGCAGCATGAAAACAGGCTAATATACAGGGCAAAAAGCCAAAGTTGAGGGTGTGGTACCTAACAAACTGCTTCATTCAATAAAACAGCTCAGGGTAAAGAGCTCTAAAGTGTGTGTCTTTCCCGGTGACATCTAATAGCTGAGAAGGCTGCTTAGCCCACAAGTAGCTCTGTTTTCCTCTATTTCAGATGTGGCCAACAAGGATAATGAAAAAGGAATAACTTTTCAGAATGTAGAGTCAGGGCCACAGAGAATAATGGAAAAATAAGTCCCTCCACCCACTAGAGAGTAGATTTAATCAAGGAATATTCACATAAACTTCCCATCCCTGCAAGGATAGAGGCCTTAACAATACTCACCAACTGGAATTTCAATTGTTATGGACCAGCGATTGTTATATCATGGAGTTTTTCTTTTCCAAGTGGAAGTGTTTTTCTGGTTATGTTGTACTTGTTTTGTCATTGTACATTGGGTGCTTGTAATGAATCCAATTTGTCTTTTTGGCCCAACAGGCTTATATCAAGAGTAACCAGGCCAAGCGAGGTGGGTCACACCTATAATCTTAACACTTTGGGAGACCAAGGTGGGAAGATTGCTTGAGCCCATGAGTTTGAGACCAGCCTGGGCAACATAGCAAGACCCCATCTCTTTAAAAAAAAAAAAAAAAGTGAATTAGCCAGACATAGTGGCTCATGCATGTAGTCCCAGCTACTCAGGAGGCTGAGGTGGGAGGATCTAGGCTGCAGTGAGCCATGATCATGTCACTGCACTCCAGCCTGAGTGACAAAGTGAGACCTTGTCTCAAAAAACAAACACACACCATATCAAGATCTGATGTAGAGACTGTTGTGCATCCTCTATATTTCTCCAAAATACAGAGGAAACCTGACGCAAAGCTAAACTTTCTATCTAGATGGGACTTTTGGGTTGCCTTTTTCGAGGTGAGTGTTCTGCATGGGAGAAGGTGACTCAAAACTTTGGTGAGCAGAATGGCATCTTCTGTGGTAGACATTACATCTTTTCACCAATATTTCAAGTTTTCTTCCCCTTCCACTCACACAAGAAGATTGAACTTCCCTGGCTCCCATGAATTTGGGTGTGATCATGGAACTTTTGTTCAATGAAATTTGAGCAGAAGTGACCCAAGTCTCTTCTAGGCAGACACACTTAAGTGCCACTGCAAACTCTGTTCTCTCTTTCTGCTACTACAACTGGTGATGCTCCCACATGCTGGATCCTCCATCCGCCTATATATTATAGAGGAAAAATGGGAACTTTGTTGGTCTAAGCTACTGAGAATTTGAAATTGTGTATTCCCAGTGAATAATATAGCTTATCCTAATAAATACTGGTATACAAGTTAAAATACATAGGGAAGTAACTTAAAAGGATATAGAACATAATTCCAAATGCTTAGAGAAGAAAAGGAATTTAAAAATTTAAAGAGCAATCAAGAAGGCACAATAGAAGAAAATGAATGCAGGAAGCAATATACAAAGAACAGCAAATAATATGGTAGAAATACATTTAAATATATTATCCTGACTTTATAAGGTCAGAATCATAAGTCATCTGCAAATATCAGTGACTTATGGAATCCAGGGTTTATTTCTCACATCACACGGTAGTCTTCAGTTAGCTTTAGCTATTCAATCTGGGACACAACGAAAGAGCAGCCTCAGTGTGGAATACTGCAGGTATTGTGGCAGAGAACAACTCAGCTTTTGAATGTTGATTCAAAAGCCTCTAGTCAGGCCAGGCATGGTGGCTCACGCCTGTAATCTCAGCACTTTGGGAGGCTGGGGCGTGCAGATCACCTGAGGTCAGGAGTTCGAGACCAGCCTGGCCAACAAGGTGAAACCTCATCTTTACTAAAACTACAAAAATTAGCCGGGTGTGGTGGTAGGCACCTGTAATCCCAGCTACTCGGGAGGCTGAGGCAGAAGAATCCCTTCTTCTGCAGTGCAGTGAGCCAAGATCACACCACTGCACTCCAGCCTGCAGAACAGAGTGAGACTCCATCTCAAAACAAAACAAAAAAGCCCTACTCAGAAGTGGCACATTTACTTCTACTCAGTTTTAATTGGTTAAAAAAAATCACATGGTCAAGCCTATTAATGGGTTTACATGTTAATGGAGCTGGAAATTTATACTTTAGCAGGGATATAGCAGAGAATATACTTTTCAGCATGGAAGAGGCAGTCCTTGCTAGGAAGGGTCAGTGAATATTTTGATAATAAAAATTTCTACCATACCAAATATAAAACGTATCTTAATAGAAATTGTCTAAACTATCCAATTAGAAGTCAAAGATGTCAGACTGGATTAAAAATAATACAACTCTATGCTCTTTGTAAGTGCCTCACCTATAAAACTATAACATAGGGACATGGGAAGCATGAAAGTCAAAGCATGGGAAAAATAGATTAGGAAAATACTAAACAAAGAAATATGGTGTAGCTATGCTAATATCAGACAAAAAAATAAACTTTAAAGCAAAAAGCACTTCTAGAAATATAGATGGTCACTGTATAATGATAACAGCTTTAATCCATTAGGAAAATATAACAATTCTAAACGTCTATACATTTAATAACAGTTCAAAATATAGAGACAAATTTACCATCACAGAGGAAGATTTTAACTAATTCCACATAAGAAATCAAAGAGACAAAAAAAAAACACAAGAATGTAGAGAATCTGAGCAACACAATTAACAAGTTTAATGAAAACCGTATTCAACAGCTGCAGAATATACATTCTTTTCCAAAACAAAATATTTGTGGCAATGCATACAACTTAATAAATGTTTTTAATTAGTATCATACAAAATACTTATCTGACAGCCATAAAAGTAAGTTTAAAAATCAGTAACAAAACGACAAATAGAAATCCCCCCATGGGTGTTTAGAAATTTTTAAGTGTATTTGTGGGCCAAAAAATTCATAATGGAAATTAATTCTTAGAACTGAATGATGAAGAATGTTGCTAAAGTCTCCCTTTGAGCAAAATGGATCATTACATATTCTCAAATAAGCAAAAAGGCTCAGAATTATGAACTAAGAATTCCAATTTTAGATATTAGGGAGAAATTACTGAATGAACTTTACAAAAGCAGGACAGAGATAATCAAGCATTTTATTAAGAGAGAAATTGCATGATTACCTGAGAAATCTGTGGGGGAATGAGGAAAACAGAAGAGGTCAAGGGAAGCAAGTCTATAGTTTCAGCTATAGCATTAGCCTGAAATGTCCAGGAGCTCCGAAATACTGAGGGATCATTCCTACCTGGTGGCAAGGGAGTGAGGCTTTTTTTGTACCTCCATATCAAGCATCAGTCAGTCATTGTTTACAGGCTGTTACAGAGATGAGTGCATAACTTCCAGACACCTCCTGGTGGTGTTGCTTCAATCTGCCAAGGGCAATCCTCCTGAGACTATTGCAGGTGTGAGCTGTTAGCAACAGAACCTGCAGCAGCTGGAGAATGGCCATGCTGAACCAATGGAAGGAAACCCAGGAGATCTGGACAGAACACCAGCGTTGTCTGCTATGCTTCATTCCTTGTATCACTCAGGTCCACTTCCCTCACACATTAGGTTCCTTTCATGCTTTTACTTCTCCAGGATTCTGGTTGATTACACTTTCTAGGATATCTTAAAATAGAAAGTTAGTAGGGGGTTGGAATATGATCCCAGAAGATACAATCCTGAATGCCATAATCCTGAATATTGAAATCCTGAAAGATCAAAATCCCTAAAGTCTAAATCCCTAATGTCTAAAATCCTGAAAATCACAAACACAGGACAGTTGCATACATGTTAAAACCAAATAAAGACATGCTATTGTCTTTATTTGGAAATTAAGTCTTGTTTAAAGATATGTCTATGGGTGCCAAATTGACAAGGATTGGACTGGTGGACTTAATTTTAGGTGTCAGTTTGACTGGATTAAGGAATACCTAGAAACCTGGTAAAGCATTATTTTGGGTGTATCTGTGAGGGTGTTTCCAAAGGAGATAGAGTGTGAGCCTGAATGGATTAGGTGGGGAAGTGTTGGTGGACATCATCCAATAGGTGAGGGGACCAAAGAAAACAAATACTGAAGGCAAATTGGACTCTCTCTGAGACCTGGGACAGATTTTTCATCTGCTGCCTTGGACATCAGAACTCCAGGCTTGCCAGCCTTTGAGCTCCAGGACTTATACCAGCAGCCCCCTGGGCCCTGAGGTCTTCAGCCTCTGATGGAGAGTTACACCATCGGCTTGTCTGGTTCTGTGGCCTTTGGACTTGGTCTTAGCCCCACCATCAGGATCCCAAGGTCTCCAGCTTGCAGATGGCCTGTTGTGGGATTCCTCAGTCACCATAATTGCATGAGCCAATTCCTCTAATAAATCACCTTTCATATATCTACATCCAGATCCTATTGGTTCTGTCTAGAGAACCCTGACTAATGTAGATTTGGTAATGGGGAAGCTGAGTATCATTCCTTCTTACTATATTCCTTACAACACAATGGAAGAGATCTGTGAAACTGTTCCCTTGAAATAAGGCTGTGATAAGTTAAGTGTATGAGGCTACTTAATGTTGAAAGATAAAAATTTAAAAGCTAATTCTAATTGGTGCTTTGAAAGCAGAAAATCACTTAATTGCAACAACTGAGCAATAACCAGACTTTCAAATGGACAGCATATAGTTAGGAAATGTGTAGACCACAACCTCTCTCAAAATACAAGTGCAGCAAGTATTTCAACGATCATAGAAGTAGTGAAACTCTAAGTGGAACATAGAAGAAATCTTCCTTGTCAAATGATTCAATCGTGTATGACTTCTGCCCCTTCACACATAGTGCCATGCTTCCCTTCAAAAAATATCCTTTGTCAGAGAATTAAAAGAATTTAACAACCTTAATAACCTTCTAAACCAAAGACACTAACTGATACTGAGGTTCCTCCGCATCTTACAAAATGCATGAAATGGTGAACTATTCTTGATTAGGGATTTGACTGTCAAAGAAGATAGACTTTTTATATTTATCACTGAATCTAACAGAAAAACTAACACGTTTTACTTTGGCTAATAGATGGTACTTCAAAACTGTCACCATTGTTTTTTATCAACTAGATACAATTCATGACCCTGTTGGATCAGAAAATACTAAAACTTATCCACCTACTTACATATTAATGACTGGAAAAGTGAAGTAAACACTTATTTAAAGATTTGGTGGACTTCACAGAAGAAAATGGATTTCTTTTCCCTTTTCCTTTTTTTTTTTTTTTTTTGAGACAGGGTCCCCCTCTGTCACCCAGGCTGGAGTGGAGTACAGTGGTGCGATCTTGGCTCACTGCAGCCTAGACCTCCTAGACTCAAGCAATCCTCCCACCTCAGCCTCCTGGGTAGCTGGGACTACAGGGGCAGGCCATCATGCCCAGCTAAATTCTTGTATTTTTTGTAGAGGATACAAAAAATTGTATCCTCTACAAAATACGTTAGCCATGTTGCCCAGGCTGGTCTTGAACTCCTGGACTCAAGTGATCCACCTGTCTTGGCTTCCCAAAGTGCTGGGATTATAGGCATGAACCACTGCCCCTGAGCAGAAAATGAATTTCAATTTAATCTCCAAACTATAATGGCAGATTTGGAATTAAGTGCAATCAAATCTTCTAAAAGTGAATTTCAAGGTGTTACCAATAAAGTTTGTTTTTTTCATTCAGCCCAAAGCATTTGGCAGAAAATTCAGGTGAGTGGATTGGCCATGTGATACTGCAAGATGAAAACTTCAGTTAAAAATGTGTCATTTGGGCCAGGTGCAGTGACTCAAGTCTGTAATCCCAACAATTTGAGAGGTCAAGGCGGAAGGAATGCTTGAGCCCAGGAGTTTGAGATCAGCCTGGGCAACATGGCTAGAACCCCATCTCTACAAAAATATACAAGTTAGCCAGGCATGGTGATGTGTGCCTGTAATCCCAGCTACTCGAGGCTGAGGTAGGAGGATCAATGGAGCCCAGGAGGTCAAGGCTTCAGTGGGCCGTGATGGAGCCACAGCACTCCAGCCTGGGTGACAGAGCAAGAACCTGTCTCAAAAGAAAAAAAAAATATGTCATTTGCCTGCATTGGCCTTCCTTCCAGCCAATGACATACCAGAAGCTTTAATAAGTTAAATTGGAATTGACCTGAAGAATATAGTGAAGTTATTGACTGGTTCAAAAATAATTATTATGAGCGTGGTAGGATAAGAAGACACTTTATGCAAGGGTGTTGCTATTCGATCACAAATGTTGTTTCTGCCAGATTTGTAGTCTGTATACAAGTGCATGGGAAATGGATTTCTGAGTGCCCAAAACAACATGGAAGCATGGCATGGAAGATGGGAAGTTTCAAAGGGAATGCTTATGTTCATGTATATTGAAACACAAAGAGAATTTCAAAAAGAGCAGCACCACATAGAAAATGTGAGTGTATTTTCTGAGGAGAGTCATGCCCTAAGAGAAAAAAAACAGCTATTTATTGTGATGCAAGACTTCAAAACATAATGATCATGGAAGTTGGCCAGCTCTTATGAACTACCTCTGTGCAATTACCCATAATCTATTCCTGTAATACACTGTTTCATTTGTCTAATTTTCCTTTTTTTTTTTTTTAGTTTTTTCCCTGCTATTTTAAATTGTCATCATTATTTTAAAAAATTTACTATGATGGCCAGGCACAGTGGCTCATGCCTGTAATCCCAGCACTTTGGGAGGCCAAGGCGGGTAGATCACCTGAGGTCAGCAGTTCAAGACCAACCTGACCAACGTGGCAAAACCCCATCTCTACTAAAAATACAAAAATTAGCCAGGCATGGTGGCGGGCTTCTGTAATCCCAGCTACTAGGGAGGCTGAGACATGAGAATGGCTTGAACCCAGGAGGTGGAGGTTGCAGTGAGCCGAGATCACGCCACTGTACTCCAGCCTGGGCCACAGAGCGAGACTGTCTCAAAAAATAAATAAAGTTTGCCATGCTGTTATATCTTCGCATCATTTCCAATACTGGAGGTATAAATTGTGTAAAGACTTTTAGAGTTCTAATTTGTTTTATGAAGTTTTTGCAAATTTGACTCCACAAAGATGCATTATCACAATGTTGACTTTGCGTGCAAACATTGTGCGTGTACATAAAAACATTGAAAGCTCCGCAATAAATGAGATGCCCTTTTTGCCCATCTACATTTGTGAAAGATAAAATTTCTTGAGATCTTGGCTCTTTGGGGTCTCATCAAAAGACTTAGGTTGTCCGTCACGATATTTCATATTACTGCAGTTATAAAAGCTATTTCTTTACCTAGGTTATATGTTGTGACTGTCATTAGTGTACCCATCATTAGGTAACCTGAGTGTTTTTACTTGCAAAAATGTTATTTATGGCTTATTTTATTGTATAAAGTGGCTAATGAAGTATTCTCTCATGTTTTCATGTTTCATGTTTCTCAAATCCTTTTTTAAAAATGTAAATAAATATACTTTAAGGAATTTTTTATTATTTTTTCCAGAATTGTATTTTTAGGATTTTGATCTTTCAAGGTTGTGACTTTGGGGATTTGGGACTTATAGGAGTTTTTCTTTTTGGGATTTCAATATTCAGGATTGTATCTTTTAGGACTATGATGGGTTCCTAGTTAGTGTGATGAAGCTTATAGCTTCCACTGCTGCAGTTGGTCCTGAGATCAGAACTGATACTGTTTCCTTTCTTTACTGCCCATTCTCTTTCTCTCTCACCCTTAGCTGGCACTTCTGCTGGTCTAGGTGGCTTGCCTGGTGGTGTCTCTTGAGGGGGATGAGATTTTGGTTACCATGAACTTATCTGACCATAGTTTGCTCTACTTGCCAATTTACAGTTAAAATAGGGGTTGGCATTACCAAGAGATACCCCAAGTGGCTCATGTGAGTGCTTAATATACTCTTCCCTGCCACCATTATGTAGCATAATAATAATCATGAATCCTCATGGTTATCGAAGACAACTACCCCTTCAAGTACGGTAACTCGTGTCTTGCTGGTGTGCTGGCACAGTGGACCTAAAATGGTTAGTGGCAGCCATGGCTTTAAGATTAGTGGAACCATTAATATGTCCTCTAGTAGAAACAGTCCCCCTTCTACAAACCAGCACTTCTAGTTCTTAAACTAAAGAGCTAGAGTTTCAAAATTGAAAGCAAAACTTTCCCAAGTGGGTTGCTGGCACAGGGCCATCCTACCTCCCAACCCTTGGCTCTGAGACTCCATATTTTATTGAGAAAAAGAATTACATAAGGACCACTGGTTTAATGGACGAATGGCAAACTTTTTCTGCAAAGGGTGAGACAGTAAATATTTTAATCTTTGTACAGCATATGGTCTGTGTCACAGCTACTCACCTATGCTGATGTAGCATAAGAGGAACCATAGATAATATATAAATGATGATTGGTAACTGTGTTCAATAAAACTCTGTTGATAAAAACTGCATCAAGCCATATTTGGCCTAAGAACCATTATTTGCAAACCTCTGATTTAATTTGTATACTGCATCCTGAAGGATGGTGCTTCATCTTTGTAGGACAACATCCCCAAGCTGTGGCCACAACTGCATTTTTTAGACGCCATTCCATTACTCTATTAGGCTAGTGTCCTGAGAGGTGAAGCAAGATAGTGGACTCCACTACTCTATTAGGTAGACTCTTACTGTCTGTGTTACAGACAATGTGGATGCAGTAAGATCAGCAAATTACACAGCTATTTGCCCACTGCGGAACCTCTTTTGTCATAACTTTTGTTCCTTGAATCTGAAGTAATAGTATATGAGAGATCCTATGTTAGTTAATCAGATACTCTATGAGCCCATGAACAGAGGTGCTAGCCAAGTCAGTACAGGCAGGAAAAGGTAAACTCATACATAGAAAACATGTCAATTTTAGTCAAAATGAATTGCTGCACTTTCTAGGGTGCAAGGGGTCTTAAGTAATCAAGTGTCACTAATAGCTGGTTGGTCTCCTCAAAGATTCATGCACTAGTAAGGGCTCAGCATTAGTCTCCGTCATTGACATGTAGGGTGGCAGCAGTAGCTAGGTCAGCTATGGTGAGAGGGATGGCCTGCTTTTGTGCCCATGCATAGCCTTCATCTCTACCATTATGCCTACTCCATTCATGAGCCCATTACGTCAGCACTGTAGTAGCCAAAGACTGTGGCTGGTTGATGCCTGCACTATAATCTTCTTACTGGTATTTGCCAGAGACCCCCACATGGTCTCTCTACTAGAGATACCTCCCAGGATCACTGCAGGGTATAACTTGTAAGCACCTTCTGGTGAGGCAATTCCAATCAAACAGGGGTGTGTCTCCTGAGAATGAGGCAGGTGTGAGCTATTAGCAGCATCACTGTAGCATTTAGGGAATGGGCACAAGCCGGTAAAAAGGATCCCAGGGGATCTAGGCAGGGCACCAACAGTATCTGTTACATTGACCAAGCTGGGCTTGTCTCAGGAATGGAAGGTTGGATTAACATTAGAAAATTAATTTATGTAATTCACCACATTAGCATTTTTAAAGGAGAAATATAGGATATGCACCTCCATATATGGGGAAAGAAACATTCAGTTATTCAACACCCATCTAGTAGAAACTGTGGGCAGACCAGGATTAGAAGAAGTAGGTGACGATAAACACCATGATGGCATCTGATATGGGTATATAAAACAGATTCTATTTTATTTTTTGTGCAGGGGGGAATCTGGAATATTTCAAGATAAGGTCCAATTCTTCCATTGTCTCGTAATCCAATGCAGAGGTAAGTAGGGGCCAGAGCATTCTTGGATAGAGTTGTGGCTCTGCTCTGAGTGTAAGGGAGATGGGTATTCTGTAGCCTTGCTACAGGCTTATTGTGTAAGAGAGAGAGTGGCTTTTAGTGCAGGAAATACAATTAGGACTTATGTAGCAAGCAATGGGTAGATACTAGCTGTTCAGTGATTTGTGATAATGCCCAGCCCCATTGCTATTCTACTCTCTATGCAAGCATCAGAGCAGCCATGTATGCAGCAAATAAGCAGTCAGGACCTAGACACCAAGAGGTCTAGGGTTAGATGCCAGCCAATCAGTTGTCATGGAACATCGGCTGCTTTTATTGATCCGTCTTTAAGACAGCCTCACTGAGATATAATCTACATTCCATAAATTTTCGTGTTTAAGTGTATAATTCAGTGAATTTTAGTATATTATCAGTGTTGCACAATAACCTAATTTTACCTTTATCACACCTGAACTTTAGAACATTTCCGTCCCCCTAAAAAGAGACCTTATGTCCCTTTACAGTCACTCTCTATTTCCACTCCTAATCTACTATATCTATAAATCCATTTTTTCACATTGAATGTAATTGGAATCATCCAATATGTGTTTTGTGACTGGCTTTTTTCACTAAGCATAATGGTTTTGCAGTTCATCCATGTTGTAGCATGTGTCATCAGTATTTCATTACTTTTTATCGACAATATTCCATTGTATGAATAGGCCGTATTTCATTTATCCATTTATCAGTTGATGGCCATTTAGGTTGTTTCTACTTTTTGATTATTGTGAATAATGCTGCTGTGAACATTTATGTTTATGTGTTTGTGTGGTCATATGTTTTCATTTTTACTGGTGATCTTGGGGAAATTGTATTCAGGCATCTCAGGGAAGTAGCACCTTCAGTCCTCAGGCTGGGCTCAGCCTTACTCCCTCCTGCTGAGCTGGGAAGAGGCAGTGCTCCCAGTCCTAGATAGTGCATTGTCCAGTCCTAGACAGTGCATTGTCAGGCAACCAAGGAGCACTCTCAGGATAGCCACTAGCCAGTGTAAAGTATCTACAGAAGTCTACATACATACATAATGGTAAAAACCTTCTCTTTTACTATCAGGAAGAAGACATTGATATAGAACATTGTTTTGAAAATTCTAGCCAGTAAAAAGCAAAAAAAAAAAAAAAAAAAAAAAAAAGAGTTAAAAGTTACAAGGACCAGAAAGGAAATAAAGGAAAAACCGTTATTTTTCAGAGGTGCAGATAAAAACCAAAATAATTTCTAGTAAAATATTGGAATTAATGAGGGATTCTTGCAAGGTTACTGTATTTTGAATCAAAACCAAGACATGCATGTCAGTTCTTTTATATATAAAGCATCAAGCACCATCAAATCCGCAGATAATTTAAACATAATGCTTAATTTTAAAAAAGATTACATTTACAATAGCATATAAAAATAAGACAGCTAGGAATAAATAAAACCAAAAATGTACAAGCCTTTCCTGGGGGGAAACTGTAACACTTTACTGAAGGACATTGGAGAAGACTTCCATAAATGGGGAGTTATGCCATGTTTATACATAGGTAGACTCAATAATGCAAAGATATCAGTTTTCCTCAAATTGATTTATAGATTCAATTCAATGCCAATCAAAAGCTTAACACATTTTGGGTTTTGGGGGTCAGTGGCTCAATAAGTTGTGTCTAAAATTTTTACAGAACAAAGGGTCAAGAATAGTTTGGATACGACTAAAGAAAAAGAATAAAGTGGGGTTCTTACTCTATTAGATATCAAAGCTTATAACTAAGCTATATTCATAAGCCTGCATTGCACTTGTACAGAAACAGATGAAAACAGACTAATAAATAGATCAGAATGGAGAACTCAGAAACCACATACGTATGCAAGCTTAGTTTATGGCAGAGGTGATATTGTGGCTCAGTAGGTTAAGAATCCTTCAACAAATGGTGCTGGGAGAATTGTTTATCCAAATGGTTAGGTATGAAAACAGAATGTAAATTTTTATAGCCTCTTTGAACATGGATTTGTCATCATCAAATGTGTTAAAGCTGCGCGTACTGTATGATCCAGAAATTCCACTCCTGGGCATATATGCTGGAGAAACTTGCACATTTTCACCAGAGCTCATGTACGAGGATCCTCACAGTAATACTGTATGTAAGATTAAAAGATAAGGGGAAAAATCCAACATGTCCACTGAAAGGATAATTTGTAAATTACTTATGGACAATGGACATACAATATGGTAGAGACAATGAATGCATGCAGCTACATAAATCAATGTGAAGAAAACTTTCAAAGACAACATTGAGAAGAAAAAGTCCCCAAATAGTATATACCATAAGATTTCAGTTATAATGAATCAGTAAACATAAACCAGGCATGCTGGCACATGCTTGTAACCTCAGCTACTCAGGAGACTGGGGCAGGAGGATCCTGTGAGCCCAGGAGTTCAAGACCAGGCTGGGCAACATAGCAAGACCTCAACTCAAAAAAAACTCACACACACAATTTATAAATACATCTGGCCAGGCACAGTGGTTCACACCTATAATCCCAGCACTTTGGGAGGCCGAGGCGGGCGGATCACCTGAGGTCAGGAGTTCGAGACCAGCCTGACCAACATGAAGAAACCCCATCTCTACTAAAAATACAAAATTAGCCAGGCATGGTGGCACATGCCTGTAATCCCAGCTACTCGGGAGGCTGAGACAGGAAAATCGCTTGAACCTGGGAGGCAGAGGTTGCAGTGAGCCCAGATCGTGCCATTGCACTCCAGCTTGGGCAACAAGAGCGAAACTCCATGTCAAATAAATAAATACGTACATCTGTGTTAAAATGTAAACATAAAGTGAAACAAAGGGAGTGATAAATAACAAACTCAGGCTAATTAATACCCTGATGAGCTGCAGTGGGGATAGGTTTAGGGAGAGTGAAGCATGAAATCAGGGAGAAGCAATGCAAATATAATGTTCTATTTCTTATGATACTTCTAGAGCTTTTTTGTATATAATTGCTACTACTATGGCTTGAGAATGTTTGTGTCACTCCCAAATCCTTACGTTGAAACTTAATCCCCATTGTGGTGCTATTAAGAGGCGGAGTCTTTCGGGAAGTGATTAAGTCATCCAGTCTCCATCCTTGTGACTGGGATTAAAGACTTCCTAAAAGAAGCTTCGGAGAGCTGCCTGGTCCTTCCATCTCTTCTGCTACATGAGGGCACAGCTTCTGTCCTTTCCACCATCTGAGGTAACAGCACCAAGGCACCGTCTTGGAAGCACAGAGCAGCTTTCACGAGACACTGAATCTACTGGCACCTTGATCTTGGACCTGCCAGTTTCTGTAACTGTAAGAAATAAATTTCTGTTGTTTACAAATTACCCACCCTAAGGCATCTTGTTATAGTAGCAGAAACAGACTAAGACAGCTACTTTTCTATTGTAAACATATACATAAACATATAAATATTTCTTCGTATGCATTAAATATTGAATAAAATTGTTGTGGACACTGTAGAATCAAGATAGATCTCCACCAGAAATTTGTTGTAAACTACCCCCTACCAAGAGAGTATGAAAAGATTTAATACTCACATAATAAGGCTTTCTGGGGAAAGAAGTGGCTCCCAAGCCGGCCCAAAAACGTGTTGAGAAAGCAGAGAAAGTGGTTTGGGTTGGGGTTTTTATGGTGACTGGGGAGTGAGACTAAGTCAAGGGTTCCTATGCATTGTTTGAACTTCCTACTGGTACCAAAGGAGACATCACCTGGGCTTTATTTTTTTAATCAGTTTTCCGTATGTGGGACAGAGGGAAAGAAGAAGAGGCAAGGTTTAAAAGATGTCAGGATGAAACATAGAGTCAGACGTCAGACTCTTTATTATAATTTTTTTTTAAGACTGAGTCTTGCTCTATCTCCCAGAAGAGTTGCAGTGGCATAATCTTGGCTCACTGCAATCTCCACCACCCAGGTTCAAGCAATTCTCCTGCCTCCACCTCCTGAGTAGCTGGGATTACAGGTGCCCACCACCACGCCTGGCTAATTTTGTATTTTTAGTAGAGACAGGGTTTCACCATGCTGGCCAGGCTAGTCTCAAACTCCTGACCTCAATGGATCTGCTCACCTCAGCCTCCCAAAGTGCTGAGATTACAGGCATGAGTCACCGTGCCCGGCCACAAATATTTTTTGAACAAAATTGTGTATGAAACAAAAGAGACATCTGCCGTTCTAAAAATAACATGTCTATGGAGAAAAGAATGTCACCTTTCCCTTTCAGAAACCATTTCTTTTATCTTTTCTTCTCCCAGGAATTCCCCACTGGGAGGAATAACTGTAGTCACAATGTTAAACTTGGTAGAAATAGAAGTTATTTTTCCCTAGAAAAATAATGCAGGAACAGAAAACCAAAAACCGCATGCTTTCACTTATAAGTGGGAGCTAAATGATAAGAACACATGGACACACAGAAGGGAACAACAGACACTGAGGTCTCCTTGAGAGTGGGGGGAGGGAGGAGGGAGAGGAGCAGAAAAAAATAACCATTGGGTACTGGGCTTAGTACCTAGGTGATGAAGTAATCTGTTACAACAAACCCCTGTGACATGAGCTTACCTATGTAATAAGCCTGCCCATGTACCCCTGAACCTAAAATAAAAGTTTAAAACAAAAAAGAACACTTTTCTGTTTAGACTTTTTGTATCACTGCTGGTGTAACAATAAAAAATATATTTTCCTAAAAAGAAAAAGAAATTGAACTTATTTACTATGCCTCAGAAAAATCAAATATCAAGGAGGTTAACTACAACAACACAAAGTTATAAACCAAATCCTGTGGAGGAAAAGAATGAGAATTACTTGTGATGTTCAAAAGTTCCCGGGCTTATACAGTGGAACAGATATCATTTGGGCCTTTATCTAGTTGAGGCCAAAAGGAATCATTTGCTTTACTGACATGATAGTGAAGAAATTCCGCACCTGTATATCTACTAATTGCAAATGAACATCAGGCTTGAAGCCTTCTCCCAGAAAAAGGTATTTCATTCCTACTGGAAAGATATAGATGGCCAGGCGCGGTGACTCACGCCTGTAATCCCCAGCACTTTGGGAGGCTGAGGCGGGCAGATCACGAGGTCAGAAGATCAAGACCATCCTGGCAAACATGATGAAATCCCATCTCTACTAAAATACAAAAAATTAGCCGGGTATGGTGGCATGCGTCTGTAGTCCCAGCTACTCGGGAGGCAGAGGCAGGGGAATCGCTTGAACCCAGGAGGCAGAGGTTGCAGTGAGCCGAGATTGCACCACTGCACTCCAGCCTGGTGACAGAGCAAGACTCCATCTCAAAAAAAAAAAAAAAAAAAAAAAAAAAAATATATATATATATATATATATATATTTATATACATAGACAATGAAATACAAATGTATATCAATTTTTGATCCACCGACTGGGTAATGCTGTGAGTATAACAATGAAAGTGATTTGATCTCTGCTCTCTAGGGGCTCACGGTCTCTTGTATTACTTTTGCAGCCTAAAGTGTGAAAATGTGGATTTATAGAAAAACTGCAGCCGGAGTAAAAGTTCAAATGATAAAATAATTAATCAGATTTCTTTTAACATACTTCAATATTAAAGAATTCATGAGAACCACTGGGAACTGTATCTACTGCATGATATGTGCAAAGGAAATACCTATGCTTAAGGCAGTTCTTGATAAACAGGTTGGGGGTGGAAGATGAGACCCTGAGAACATCAGTCAGTAGAGCTAAAGGTGGAGTAACAGGTAGCTCAGTTACTTTGCATTCACAAAGATTAGAAATGTGGAATGCAGGAGGAATGAGAAAGGGTGAGTTTAGAGTGGAAATGTCTGAGGAACTTCTAGGAACACCATTATTAAATATATACCCTGAAATTACACATTGTTGGCACAAATTAAATGAAAACTTGTTCATCACTCTAATATTTAATAAAGTCTTCTGTACACACACACATACACAAAAACACACACACAAAAAAAACACATACAAACACATGCATAAACACAGACACAAACACAAACATGTAAACACACACAGACCCTTTTGAGAGGGCTGTTTTGAGTGGAAAGAAAAGAGGCTGAGTTCAACATCTGTTTTAATGCATAATAATCACCTCAGCATAATAATAATGTTAACATGTTGATTATGTGCCAAGTGGAATTCTAACATCCATACATACACATATTTAAATGCTTTATAGTAACTATCTTATTTAATGAAACTCAGTGCAAACCTATAAGGTAAGCAATCGTATTTTCACCATTTTGTGAGTGAGGCACCAGAAGCTGAGAGGTTAAGTGATTTGTCCAAGGTAACGCAGCAGGTAAGAGGCAAAACTAGATTCTAACTTCGGCAGGCTGGTAAACAGGGTGTGGAAATTATCTATAAATGGAATGCACTCAGTAGAATTGGAATGTGGAGTCAATGGGGGATCCTAGTGGACATGGGCCCATCCAGAAATTCACAGAAATCTTAGGGAGGGATTTAGAATTTCTGCAGTTTAGGAATGGTGGTTTAAATCAGTCTTAGCCATGTTTTAAAAATCACCCCAACTTGTTCATTCATATTTCCTCTGACACACACACACAGTTCCAAGTTCCTTCATTTCCATCTGAGAGTTCATAAACAAAGAGAAAGCTGAGTACCTATACTTCATAAACACCTCCCCATTCTACCCAGAGCTCTGGTTCCAGCCAGCTTCCTCTTGTTAAGCCCCAGCTGGGGCTACTTGGCACTGCTTCCTTGGTTACATATGATGCTCCTTGTTCAGTCCCTTTCTCACAGGGCTCTTTCACTGTCTGCCGTAGATGTCTGCCTGCCTTTTTTTTTTTCTTTGAGACGGAGTCTTGTTCTGTCGCCGGTCTGGAGTGCAGTGGCACCATCTCGGCTCACTGCAACCTCCACCTCCCAGGTTCAAGCGATTCCCCTGCCTCAGCCTCCGGAGTAGCTGGAACTACAGACGCGTGCCACCGCACGTGGCTGATTTTTATATTTTTAGTAGAGACGGGGTTTCACCATGTTAGCCAGGATGGTCTCAATCTCCTGACCTCGTGATCCACCTGCCTCGGCCTCCCAAAGTGCTGGGATTACAGGCGTGAGCCCAGCCATCAGCCTGCCTTTTAAATTCCTCATTACTCCCACCACATTGTGTTCTTGCACAGAAAGCAACCAATGTGAGAGGGAGATCTCAAACAGCAGTCCTAGGCTGTTAGCATTCAGATGTTCCCTACCTCTCCTCAGCAAGCTTTCCTGCCCTAGTGTCACTTGCCTTCTTTCTCCTGCCTAAGAGGAGTGCAGAATCTTCCTATAGGCAGCACTCATACGCAGGGCATCCAGGAAACAAACAACAACAACAACAACAAAAAAACATGAGAAAGGAGTGGCAGCATCTGGAAACATTTTCACCTAAACTCCAGTTTCACTTCTGTAAGGCTCTGGCCAAGTGGATCTCTGTCAATCGAAATGGCTGTGCGTGTATGTAAATGTTTGATGTGCAGTATACACATGTGATTATAACCCCCTCCTTATTTGGAACATAGCCAAAATGCCAGGCATTGTTCTGAATGCTTTATATTTATTCACTTCATCCTCACCAGGTGAGGAACATGAGACCTGGAATGGTTAAATAACTTGCCCAAGGTAGTAGATGAGTGCCAGGTGAGAGGAGGCTTCCTGACGTTTCTTTTAATTGTCCTTGAATGGATGATTCTACACAACATAAGACTAGCCATATTCTGGGTTTTATGTGCAGCTCAGAGGCCTCTGGGAAATAACTATTGGGGTTTACACTTAGAGTTAAAATATATTCATTCCTACCTGATGGTGAGAGTAGCCAAGCTAGAGGGAGGGAAAGCAGGTCTCCATAAGCAATGAAGGAACTAGACATCCTGTGTTGGAGTTAACCGTGATGCCTGAGTGGCAATGGCAGTGTGCCCAATGCCATGTGAGTCTGCCCTTGTGCGTGCCTTCACTCAGCCTCCCCCATCCCTTTAAGGAAGCATCTGTGCACCCAGGAAGAGCAGAATGTGGGAAACATGAAACATTAAAGTGCTGTGCCGCCAGAGCCTGAGCAGCTCCCCTTCCAAAAGGGCTAAATAATTCTTCCCTACAAACAGAGCTAATTCAGAAGTGAGCATCTCTGGGTGGTAGCAACAAGGAGGGCAGGTGCCTGAACTCTAAATAGCTTTGGAGGCAGAGAGCAAGCCAGCACCAACACGAAGGAATGTCAGGAGAGTTGGTGGGCTGAGGACAAGAGAAGTGTAGAGGAGAGTGTGAAAGCTGACGAATTCAAGATGACCATAGGGTAGAACTGCAGAGCAAAGGCCCAAGAGCCCAGCAGTTTAAGCTGACATTCACCAGAGCAAAGGGCAACTTTTGATAATGTGTACAATGGTCCTGCCCTTTGGGGTCCATGTAAGAGACACAAATGGGGAAATCCTTAAGTCCTGCCCTTTGCAATGGGGAATGTTGAAGACCAAGAAGCAAAGTGCTCAGATGATCTCATCCAGGACCCCTAACAGGGATGTTCTCAGCGACAAGTATGCTCTGAACACACACACACACACACACACACACACACACACACATATATGTAAATTCATGTGTATACTTTCATTAACTCTTTTGAGACAGAGTCTTGCTGTGTAGCCCAGGCTGGAGTGCAGTGGTGTGATCATAGCTCACTGCAGCCTCAACTTCCCCAGGCTCTAGCGATCCTCCCACTTCAGCCTCCCAAGTAGCGCACCACCATGCCTGGCTAATTGTATTTTTTGTAGAGACAAGGTTTCATTATGTTGCCCAGGCTTGTCACAAACTCCTGGGCTCAAGTGATCTGTCCACCTTAGCCCTGTACTGGGATTACAGGTGTGAGCCACTGTGCCTGGCTACATTTATGTGTACACTTAATTTCTTTTTATGTAAAATATACGCTTTAACTTCTTCCTTTCTCTGGAACTGTTTCTTCCCCTTCTGTAAAATAAGTTTATACTAAGATCCCTTTCAGCCCCACATTTTCATCTCTGAGCAAGTGATTAGAGCGTGCTGCTCAAAGTCTTTCAGTAAATGTCACCATTTTCTATAATGGCCCTTATTTCTGTTTGTTAATTTCCATCCTGGTGGCCGCCACCCAGGCTCATATTCTTACCTCTTTATTCCTGGACTACTGCTGCATCTGCTCTACCAGTCTCTCAACATCACCCTTCAAGTTATTCCTGCCACATTCCCATTTCCAAGCCTACCCTTCCTATTTAAAAAATTTTTTATAAATAGAGATTGGGTCTCACCACATTGCCCAGGCTGGCCTCAAACTCCTGAGCTCAAGCAATCTCCCTGCCTTGGCCTCCCAAAGTGTTGGGATTACAGGCATGGGCCATCGCTGCCAGCCCAAACCTACACTTATAACAAATTTTCTGGTTTTGACATCTTCAGGGTTACCCTTTGCCAGTGTAAAAAAGGTTGTCCATAATATGACTGTATTCGTCCATTCTCACATTAAAGAAATACCTGAGACTGGGTAATTTACCAACAAAAGATGTTTCATTGGCTTACGGTTCTGCAGGCTGCACAGGAAGTGTAGTGGCTTCTGCTTTTGGGGAGGCCTCAGGGAGCTTCCAATCATGGCAGAAGGCAAAGGGGGACCAGATGTCTCACATGGCAGGAGCAAAAGCAAGAGGGCAAGGTGGGAGGTGCTACACACTTTTACATAATCAGATCTCCTGAGAACTCACTCACTATCTCGAGGACAGTACCAAGGGGGATGGTGCTAAACTATTCATGAGAAATCCACTCCCATGATCCAGTCACCTCCCACCCGGTCCCACCTCCAATATTATAATTAATGTTGGGAATTAATTGTTGAACATAAGATTTGGGTAGGAACACAAATCCAAACCATGTCAATGACCCTAACCAACTTAGTCTTCTCTCTCTGGATACCACTCTACTTCTCTGTCCCCCTTAACTGCAAAATATTTCTCAGAAGTTTCCCACATCCACTGTTTTCAATTCCTTACTTCCCATTCTTTCTTCAATCCACTCCAATGAGGTTTCATGCCTATTCTTCCTCAGTAAAGATCCTGATGACCTCCATGTTGCCAAACTCAATGATCAGTTCTGTATCCTATTCTCATGTAATGTCTCAGAAGCATTTGACACAGGTGGATACACTCTTCTTGACTCCCAGAGTCATTCCAGAGTGAATCATTGCAGTTTCAAAAACTAAGTAGATGATACAGGTGAACAAAATGATCCAGGAAGACAGAGAATCCACTGAGACCTCCTTTCCTTGCCCTGGCATCCCCTGCTAAAAAGGATCATGATGGATTCCTCATATCTTTCTTTTCCAAAATCCTTATGTTCCTTCTCTGTCATCCTCTGAGCTATTCAAATTCCACTGCTTTTCAAAGGATTTGCTCAGCAACTGCTAAGGGAGCCAAGTGTCCTACCAACCTCTTTAAATGCCTTTCAAGTAGAACTAGAGATGTGTTAATTAAAATGATGGCTATATTTCTCACTCACTTACATGGATACAGTTTTATAATAAGGATGTTTCTTTAGAAGCCTGGGGCTTCCCAGGGACGATCTCTGGTTTTCTGCCATCCTACGATGCACATCCCACAAGTGCATCCACACCAAAACTAAGAAGTAAATGTGTAGAGATCTGGGATGATTTGAATTTGCCATTTATCCCTAAGAATTTTTTTTGTTTGGAAAAGACTCTTTGCTATTTACCAGAATGTCTTCATGCAACAAGAATTGAGAGAAATATCCATTATTCAGAAGCTAGGTGATTACTTCATCTCAGTTCTTAATAAAGTTTTATGAAGTCCCTAGGCAGTCTGTCATCTTTCCATCTTTCAGAGTCTTCCTATATTTGTTAAGTCCAGGGTTTTTTAGTTGTAAAGGGGGATACTAGGGATAAATGGGGATACTCCACCTTGGACAAAACTAGAAGTCCTCTACCCATACATTTTTAAAGGGATAGGTATTATTTTAACATATAGATATATCATAATTATATATACCTCTATATACATATATCAGAGATATATGTGTGCCAGACATATATGGTATATATAAATTATGATATAATCTATTTATATAGAGAGATACTCTTTTTTCTTCAAAATTACAAACAATATTGTAAAGAACATCTCAATATTTACTTTGCAGAGGTGGAAATGGTAGGCCAAAAAGGATAGCTATTTAAAATTTTTGGTACACTTATCAAATTTACATCAAATTAATAACAGTGAATGTGCATTATTTCTACACATTTTCATTAATCATGTACATTGTCAAATGTTTTCATCTTTGCTTATCTGACAGGTAGAGAATTCTACTTAAAATCTCATTGGTTCATAGTTGATATGGTTTAGCTGTGTCCACATTTAAATCTCAGCTTGAATTTTATCTTCCAGAATTCCCATGAGTTGTGGGAGGGACCCAGGGGGAGGTAATTGAATCATGGGGTCCAGTCTTTCCCATGCTATTCTGGTGATATTGAATAAGTCTCAAGAGATCTGTTGGGTCTATCGGGGGTTTCTGCTTTTGCTTCCTCCTCATTTTCTCTTGCCGCTGCCATGTAAGAAGTGCCTTTCACCTCCCGCCACGATTCTGAGGCCTCCCCAGCCATGTGGAACTGAAAGTCCAATTGAACCTCTTTTTGTTCCCAGTTTCAGATATGTCTTTATCAGCAGCATGAAAACAGACTAATACAGTAGTGCTTTGGATATTATGAAGGTTGAAAAGAACCTAAGGGTTAAGTGATAACTTGTAGATGGCTTTATAATTGCTATTCAAGTATTTTAGTGTGTTGAGATATATATATCTCCAAAATAATAAAAATCTTCTTGTTGTAGGCAGATGTCTACCTTATAATCCCTGGACACTAAATATGTTATTTTACATGGCAGGAAGGGATTAAGGTTGAAGATGGAATTAAGGTTGCTGATGGCTGACTTCAAGATAGGAAGATTATCCTGGATTATCCTGGGGGGCCCAGTGTAATCATAAAGGTCCTTAAAGGTGAAAAAGGGAGGCAGAAGTGGAGGTCAGAGTGATGTGATGTGAGATGGATTCAATTTGCCATTGCTGCCCTTGAAAATAGAAGAGAAATGCAAACAAAGAATGAGGGCAGCCTCCAGAAGCTGGAAATGGCAAAGAAATAAATTTTCTCTTTGATTCTCCAGAAAGGGATGCGGCCCTGCCAACACCTTTTATTTTGGCGCAGTGACACCTATGTCAGATGTCTGATTTCAAGAATTGTAAAATAATACATTTGTGTTGTTTTAGCCACTAAGTTTGTGAGAGCTTGTTAACACAATAGAAATCTAATACAGATAGTAGGGTGGTACACACACATTGCAAAAAAATAGAAAGCCGCGTGTAGAATTTGGGAAGCACTGTGGGCTGAGAAGATACTGAGGTACATATGCATGTCTGGGGCATAACTGTCCATGGAAAGTAGGATTAGCTTGGAGGTGGACAGAGTTACACTTTTCTGCTGAAACTTTCTCTTAACCTAACTACATTATAGCAAACCGAAGTTAACTAGAATATGAAGCACTTTCTCTTGCTGGCCGTAAGGCCCACATTAGGAGACTACAATAGCAATATCAAAATCCTTGTTACATTCAACATTGCACCTGCCTATCAATATAATTTCAAGCAATGTTTATCCAATGGTGAAAAGCAACATATGCATGGTGGAAAATTTCCTAGTTGGAATTCAGAAAACAGGGCATGATAAAAAGGACTGGCAATCTGTTAATGGACTCCAAGGAAATCCCAGTAAATTGAGATTACATGTATCACTCAAATTATAGAGAAAGAAGGCACCCTTTTCTTCATCTTTTAATTAATGATTGAGGCTGGGAAGCCAGACCACTTTCCTCTCTACACAGGTTCACTTACTAGGTTAAAGACATGAGCCTAGCTTCTCGTCCAAGTATTTAAAGTGGCAAATGGGCCAGGCGTTGTGGCTTACGCCTATAATCCCAGCACTTTGGGAAGCCAAGGCAGGAGGTTCAGTTGAGATTAGGAGTTTGAGATCAGCCTGGCCAATATGATGAAACCCCATCTCCACTAAAAATACAAAAAATAGGCAGGTGTGGTGGCACACGTCTATCATTCCAGCTACTTAGGAGGCTGAGGCATGAGAATTGCTTGCGCCCAGGAGGCGGAGGTTGCAGTGAGCCAAGATTGCACCACTGCACTCCAGCCTGGGTGACAGAGCAAGACTCTGTCTCAAAAAAATAATTAAAATGGCAATTGCCATTTTGCCCACACAATTGGCTACTTCATGTTTTTGTGTATAGTAGCTATGTGGGCTACCACAAAAATAATGGGGAGAAAAGGAAGTAGCACTGATAGGGGAAAAACTTTGATTCCTACAAAAGAGCAGAGATATAAAGGTCAGACTAACTTACTAACATTGCTGTTCTTTAGAGAGAAAAACTATCTGTATGTAAATACACACATATATACACACAAATATATATACATGTATGTGTGTGTATATGGCAGATAGTATTTTCCAGAGATAGCTTCCATCCCACATTTTTTATGCTATGTAACCTTGCTATTCTGCCACCAAGAGGTGGAATCTCAATTACCCTACCCTTGAATCTGGGCTTAGCTGGCCTTAGTGGTTGTTTGTAACTACCAGAGTGCAACAGAAATGAACCTGATTACTTCTGAGGCTAGGTAAAAATGTAAAATAAAATAATAAAATACAATAAAAAATTTTTAAAAAGCTTTCACCTGTTCACGTGGAACTAAGTCTCCAGATTTTACCTCCCAGAGAAGCTCCCTCTGGGAACCCAACCCTCTCCTAAGAGGCATCTGCCAGGCAAAAGCAATCGATCCACCGTAACATATTGCGGGTCCAGCCGGAAATTGGAACGTCAGCGTTTTCATTCCGGAACGCCTACATGTAGTTGAGATTTAGGGACTTGAATCACGTTCGCTGTCACCATCCAACTGATACGGAAACCGGTACTTCCCCTTTTCTAACATCTTCTCAGAACACTCCAAGGCACATAGCCACTCGATAAAATCAGCTAAGGAAAAAAGGTACTTTGAAGCTAGTACCCTAGCCTCTATGGCTATTTGTCAGATGGGAAGTTTAGCAAATTAATAAAAGCTATTTATAAAAATGTGAGGAAAGTTTAGGTTGAACCCTGATCAACAAACATAATGTCTTGCTATCATTGAACCATTAATGCAAATGCTTACACTAAAGCCAGGCACGGTGGTTCACACCTGAAATCCCAGCAGGCGTGGTGGGTGGATTACCTGAGGTCAGTAGTTCGAGACCAGCCTGGCCAACATGGCAAAACTCCACCTCTACTAAAAATACAAAACTTAGCCGGGTGTGGTGGTGCACACCTGTAATCCCAGCACTTTGGGAGGCTGAGGCAGGAGAATCGCTGGAACACAGGAGGCGGAGGTTGCGGTGAGTTGAGATCGAGCCACTGCAGTCCAGCCTGGGCAACAGAGCAAGACTCGGTCGCGAAAAAAAAGAAAAGAAAAAGAAAAAAACAACAATGAATGCTTACACTTAGAAATGGTTTGTCATCTTCGTCTAGGAATGCCTATTTTCCATTCATTCAATGAACATCCAGCCCACCTTGTGCCCTGTGATTGGAAGGCTTTAGGAATACCGAGATGAAAAGATATGATCCCTGTCTTAAAGAATCTAGTAATCTAATGGGCACCTGAATGAACGTTTGTCTACAGTGTTAGGTTAGGAAACAGCCCCAACACATGCCATTTGCCAGGGGGAGTCAGAGCCTCACCTATTTATTTGGGGTGACAATCATACAGAGTGCAAGTGACATATTTACCATGCTGTATCCCTGAAGTCTTTTCATCTGTCCCAGCTTCTCTATTGCCATTGAAAGTTTTCTGTTTTAATCCCTTGTCTTTCCACCTATTAGAGTGGACCCCCATTGAGTCTCCAGAGGAGAAACTCCTGATCTCTACACCCATGATTACAGGGTTAAAACAGAGAAAAAAGAAACTTCACTGTGATTCTCAAGTCTACCTTTGACACTGCTGAAAGTTACCTAAGAGAGATAAATAATTCTGGGATTCTTCTGCTTTTGCCTGAAAGTGTTCACTCTGATTTTCTTAGCAAGGAATTTAAGGCCCCTTGTAATATGATGTTGATCTGCCTTTCTGCCACTGTTTCCCATTAACTTCATATTCCATCCTAAGGAAGACAACATTTCCTGAGTATACCATGAATTTCCTCAACTTCAAAATGCAGCTCTAGTGAAATCAGGTTCATGACGTTTTCCCCATTCTTCAGACAATGTAAATTACTCTCTCCTCAGAGCCTTTGACTCCTATATCTAGAAAGGCACTTATAGTCTATAAACACTTTTAACGTATAAATTGGTGCTTTGACTAAAGTATAAGCAATATGAAGACAGGAAAGAATCTTCCTCTTTGAATCGCCAGCATCTAGAAAAGTCCCTAGCATATGGCAAGTGTTTGATGAATGTCCTTTGAGTGAATGATGATGTAGATGATTTTAATAAAAGTGTTCTGTGCCAGTGCCTTGATCGAGATGGTGCTGTGAATGAGTTTTGAGGTATATTTTGCTTGTTGGAAGGCAGTTTCTTTCCTGTTTAGGAAAAAAAGCAACGGTAATGAGCCAAAAAAAAAAAAAGGTGAACTGAGGTGTTAAGCCCTCTGGCTCTGTGTTGCCCACTAGAGGAGCCTGTACTCTGCCAAGCAGGGCCTGTTTAACATCCTTGGAGTGGCTCTCTTGAAGTAGGCACACTTTCTAGGGCACAAAAATTGACAATCACTGCAAAAAAGCTTATTACATGTTGGGAAACATTTCTGGAATTTCTGCATGGGATTATTCAAAACAAGCCTCTCCATAGCTGACTCGCTAGCTGTTTGTTTGTTTTTAGTGAAAGAAAATTTGTTAGAAAAGTAAAGGGATAAAGAATGGCTACTCCATAGGCAGAGCAGCCCCTAGCTGGTTTTTAACTTTCCTTCTCCTGCTGCTTGTGACACATCTCCATATTTCATTTGTTTGTTTCCTTATCTAGATGTGAAATGTAAGATCATCTGAAGGAGAGCTTTGGTTCAAGTCAAATGCATGCCTCAACCTAGCAGAGCCAAAGAGATACTTGTATGATGTAAGTCAGATTATGTCATTCTTCTGCTCAAAACTCTCCAATAAATAGCTCACCATTCCCTTCAGAGAAAAGCCAAAGGACTTAAAATGGCCAACAAAGCCTATGATCTGCACCCCCCTCCTCCCTCTACCTCACTTCATCTTTCTCCCTGACTCACTTGGTTTCAGTCCTACTTGCCTGATATGTTCCCTCAATTACACTCCCATTTCAGGACATTTGCACTGACTGTTTCCTCTGCCTGGACCCCACTTGCTCCAGCTTTGCACATGGCTACCTCCCTTACTTTCTTCAGGTGCTTGCTAAAATACCGTCCTCTCAATGAGGCCTACCCTGAGCACCCTATTTAAAATTGTAACCTGCCGTTCCCTCCCCCTACAAGCTTTCAAATTTCGTCATCTTTTTTTAGTTTTTGCTATAACAATTAATCACTTTCTAATATACTAATTCTAATAAGAATTTACTTATTTATATATTTATTGCTTAACGTCTATATCTGTCTGTGAGAATATAAGGCCCATGAAGTCAGGGATCTTTTTCTGTTCTTAACATTGTTGTATTCCAAATGGGAGACTGTTGCTTGGCTCATGGTAATCACTCAGTTAATAGCTGTCACATTAATTAATCCTTGCCATCTCTTCTGTGCTGGAATTTGTCCATGATAGAAGCCTCCTGATCTGCCAGACCAGTGTTGTCCTAATATTTTATTCAGTCCAGAATCTGTAATGTTTTTATTGCCAATAAAGCATGTGAAAGGAAAATAAATCTTGGGTCCCCAAATCACTAAGCTAATACAACTCCTCTTTTTTGGAGTTTTACTTGCTTCCAACAAGGCAGGCAAGATTTCCTGTTTCCATGATGATGGAAGGCAGGTAATTCCTTTATGGAGTTTGAGCTCGCTTCCGACAGGGAAGATGAGGTTTTTTTCCTGCTTCTAGGATGGTAGAGAGCAGTCTACAGCCTGAGACCCATCCCTAGGTAAGTACCTGAATTAGGGTTTGTCTTGGTTAAATTTAAGACTAACAACCAGCTACTCTTAATTTCTCCTTACCATTAGAGCACTCAGTGATCTTATAAGTTGTGCCATCGTTTGTTTTGCTTAACTGTTTTTTTGTTGTTTTGGTCTTTTTCCCATTGGGTTTGATCAACTCTATCTGACTTTATCAAATCCAAAGGAAGTTCCAAATTATGGGGAACAAGGCCTCTGAAGTGGCTAAATTCCCATACACACAAAAAAAGGTGGTATGGTGGGGAGAAAAATGGCCAACCAAGGAAAACAAAAAGAGGAAAGGTTTTTTATTTTGACTACTACAGGAGCTTTATTTACATAACAAGGCCGCCTTTTTGCTAGCTAGGACAAACTGAAATGGATATTGCCCCGTACCGCAGTTTGATAGCTTAAGGTTCTGCCTTCTTTTTTTTCCCACCACGACAGCCTGGGTTTGGTTCCTAAATCAAACTTTTTCCGGTTTGATACTTGGTACTGCTGAAGTAGCAGCAATTTGTCCTAGCTGGAATATAGTAATGAGATTTTAAAAGATTTTTTTCAAAGGAGCTCAATGGTTAAAAGTCATCTTAATTAAAAGCTAATATCCAAGATTGTGTGTGTGTGTGTGTGTGTGTGTGTGTGTGTGCGCGTGTTTGTATTTAAAAGGCCTTCATGGGGTTATTTTTTGTCCTCCTAAGACCCTGTCTTATTTTTGAGCAAAAGTTTTTTCCTCTCAGTTGAATGGATTTTGTTTTCTTCATTAATAGCTATTGCAACAGAGGCTACTCTGGGGTTTTTAAGGAAGGGTGTAATTTAGACACTTAGAAATGTCTTTGTTAAAAAAAATTTTTTAAGTGTACTGTAAAAGCATCACATGGTCTAACCTCAAAATAATTCCTCTGCTCAGAGCTCAGAGATCCAGTTAAAAAATAGTTTCATGCACGTTCGTGTGAAGAGACCACCAGACAGGCTTTGTGTGAGCAAGATGGCTGTTTATTTCACCTGGGTACAGGCGGGCTGAGTCCAAAAAGAGTGTCAGTGAAGGGAGATAAGGGTGGGGCTGTTTTATAGGATTTGGGTAGATAAAGGAAAATTACAGTCAAAGGGGGGTTCTCTGGCAGGCAGACTGGGGGTCACAAGGTGCTCAGTAGGGGAGCTTTTGAGCCAGGATGAGCCAGGAGAAGGAATTTCACAAGACAATGTCATCAGTTAAGGCGGGGCAGGGCATTTTCACTTCTTTTGTGATTCTTCAGTTACTTCAGGCCATCTGGGCGAATACATGCAAGTCACAGGGGATGCGATGGCTTGGCTTGGGCTCAGAGGCCTGACATTCCTGCCTTCTTATATTAATAAGAAAAATGAAACAAAATAGTGTTGAAGTGTTGGGGCGGCGAAAATTTAGGGGGGTGGTATGGAGAGAGAGAATAAGCGATGTTTCTCAGGGCTGCTTCAAGTGGGATTAGGGGCAGCGTGGGAACCTAGAGTGGGAGAGATTAAGCTGAAGGGAGATCCTGTGGTAAGGGGTGATATTGTGGGGATGTTAGAAGAAACATTTGTCATATAGAATGATTGGTGATGGCCTGGATAGGGTTTTGGATGAACTGAGAAACTAAACGGAAGATACAAGTTCTGAATAAAAGAAGGAGAAAAATGGGTATCAAAGGACTAAGAATGGGAGGACCTAGGAAATCTAATTAGAGAGTGCCTAAGGGGGTTCAGCATAATTACTTGCTTGGTTGGCAAGTTTTTGGGCTTTATCTTTGAGTTTTTTTATGTTGTCATACACCAGGCCAGATTGATTTAGGTAAAAACAACACTCTTCATTTAAGAAAATACAGAGTCCTCCTTTTTCAGCAGTGAGTAAGTCAAGGCCTCGGCGGTTTTGGAGGACAACTGCAGCTAAAGAGTCAACTTGGGCCTGGAGAACTGATAAAGTTTGTGATATGTCTGTGATGCTAGCAGAGAAGTCATTAGACAGGCTACGGAAGGTTGTGACAGAGGTTGAAATGCCTGCTATTTCAGTACCGAGAGCAATAGTGGAGGCAGAAAGTCTTAAACTGACTATCAAGGGAATTAGTGGAATAACTCTTTTTTGTCATGTCGGTGTCATGAGGGGAACAGGGAGCTCTTCAGTCCTATTTGCAAATTGAATTTTGGGGGTAAGGAAAACTAGTGTGCATGTGCCTGTCTAATTAGCAGGTAGACACATGTAGGTAGAGGATCTACAGAGGAAGAAGAGACCTTGTGCGAGGCAAAACTGGAGATGTAAAGTAAAAAGGTGAGAAGGAGTGCTGAAAGGGGTGTCTTGTCCTAGACTCCTAGGGATCCAGCTAGGGCGGCAGCTGTCAGAGGTTGTAATGGGGACTGATGGGGTAACTGCGTAGAGGGGGAGGTTCGATTTTCATGGTGTATGAGAAAACATTGAGTATCTATGAGCAACTTTTCACTGTTATTTTCGGGGCTGGGTATAAGTAAACAAGAAGAGGGCCTGGGAGGAGAGTCTGACGAGCAAGGGGAAGGTAGCTAAGGGTGGAGTGAAATACAGGGTAAGTGTCTTCTTAAGTAATAATTACTGCTAACGTTTTTAAGTTTGTATGTATTGATAGAGGGTTTGTCTGTAATATGGAGCTGGAAGGCTCTAATTGTTTCAGTGATGTGTGTAGTTGGGCTTCGGATATGAAGAGTAAAGGAACATCGAGAAGGTGAAAGATTACCTAGGGGAATTCTAGTGGGTCTTTGCTGAGAGATACTCAAAGGAGCGGCCACAGGAATAGTAGTTTGTGTTGTGAGAGGTCTAAATATGGGGGGAGTAGAGTTAATATAAGGAGAAAGGTTTTTTAAATAAGTGCGGAGGAGGGCGGCAGCTTGCTGATCTGAAATGTCTGGGGAAGTCTTGCTGGACTTGTCTAGAAAGTAAATGAGTTCTTCAGGAGGGTAAAGGTGAGGGCTTTAAAGGAAGTTCGGAGGTGTAAGGAGACAGGAGATGTTGCCTAGTCTGTCTGTAAGGCGGGGACAGCTGTGTAGGCACTGGAAGAAAGGGAAATGCAAAGCTAGCAGTTGTTCGCTAAGGAGGGATTAGAAGCGGCTAGGAGAGAATGGGTAAGGTTGATAGTGTGGTGGAGATAGCTGGGGAGAGGTAAAGGGTGGCATAATAATGGGAATGAGAATAAGAGTGAGTATAAAAGTAAAGAATAGAACTTCATCAAGGTGGAAGTATTGGAGGGTGCCCTGCCAGCAAAGATCATCTACCTACTTTAAGAGGGAATTAAGAGTGGCGGTTTGGGGATAGCATCAAGAGATATCAGCTGTGATGGCTTGAAGAAACAGTGTAAACTGGCAGTGTAAACAAGAGTAGGGCATTTTTAAGTAGTTGAGAACGGAGAATAGGAGTATGACTAGATAGAAAATAGTAGGGATGACAGGTTTTTTTGGGGCTCGGCCTAAGTGGTGGGGGTGACTTCGTAAAGCCTTGTTGCAAAAAGTAGGGTAAGGACGAACAGACCTAATAGAATGAAGGGATGTATTAGGCTCATAAGGGTTATTACTGTTCTTCAGAAATACGAGTGAGTTTAAGGGAAGTAGGGGAGAGTACTTGCGACTTCCAGGAGGAAGAGGAGGGATTAAGCTGGCTGTCCAATGGACACAGCTTTATTCTGGAATGGTGAACTTAGTGGGGAGGATCCTGCAGGCGGACGGCAGTCGGGGTACTATAGATGACTAAGTAGGGTCCGGTCCATCAAGGTTGTAGAGTCTGAGGGGTCAGATTCTTAAGAACTGATCATCTAGCTAGGGTGTCTTCATATGGCTGGGGATCTGGAGTAGGCAAGAGAAGATTAGCAGCCTGGCGAATTTCCTGTCTAGCCTGTTGGAGGACTGGAAGATAGTCGCCTAGAGGGCTGGTGTCTGGGATGAGGTTGGGGCCAAGCAAGAAAGTGCATCCATATAAAAGTTCAAATGGACTGTACCTTGTAGCATCTCGAGGACAGGCTCTAATTCTGAGAAGGGCAAGAGGTAAAAGTCTTGCCCAAACTGTCTAATCTTTAATTTGGAGGCTGAGCTTGGTGAGGTGTGTCTTTAAAAGACTATTAGTCCGTTCTACCTTTCCTGAAGATTGAGGATGGTAAGGGATATGAAGGTTCCACTGAATGCTAAGAGCCTGAGAAACTGCTTGGGTGATTTGGCTAGTAAAGGCTGGTCTGTTTTGAGACTGTATAGAGGTAGGAAGGCCTAACCGAGGAACTATGTTTGACAGAAGGGAAGAAATGACTGCGGTGGCCTTCTCAGACCCTGTAGGAAAGGCCTCTACTTATCCAGTGAAAGTGTCTATCTAGACTAAGAGGTATTTTAATTATCTGACTCGGGGCATGTTGAGTAAAGCTATTTGCCAGTCCTGGGTGGGGGCAAATCCTCAAGCTGGATGTGTAGGGAAGGGAGGGCGCGTGAATAATCCCTGAGAAGTAGTAGAATAGCAGATGGAACACTGAGAAGTTATTTCCTTGAGGATAGATTTCCACGATGGAAAGGAAATGAGAGGTTTTAAGAGGCCGGCTAGTGGCTTGTACTGTAGCATAGCCTGCCTTTGCTGGTGTGTGGCGATTAGGCCTGGTGGAACTGCCATCAATAAACCAAGTGTGATCAGGGTGAGAAACAGGGAAGAAGGAAATGTGGGAAATGGGGTGAACGTCAGGTGGATCAGAGAGATGCAGTCATGGGGGTCAGGTGTGGTATCCGGAATAATGTGGGAGGCCAGATTGAAGTCCGGGCCAGGAACAATGGTAATTGTGGGAGACTCAACAAAGAGTGAGTACAGCTGAAGGAGCTGGGGAGCAGAAAGTATATGCGTCAGGTGTGAGGAAGAAAATAGATTTTGGAAATTATGAGAGCTGTAGAGAGTGAGTTGAGCATAGTTTGTGATTTTAAGGGCCTCTAAAAGTATTAGGGCGGCAGCAGCCACTGCACGGAGACATAATGGCCAGCTTAAAACAGTAAGGTCAAGTTGTTTGGACAAAAAGGCTACAGGACGCAATCCTGGTCCTTGTGTAAGAATTGTGACTGCACAGCCCTGCACTTCAGCTGTGTGTAATGAAGAGGGTTGGGATGAGTCAGGGAGAGCTAGAGTTGGGGCAGTCTCTAAAGCTGTCTTCAAGGAACGGAAAGATGAGTGGGGAAAGGATTTAGGATCTATGGGGTCAGCTAGGTTTCTTTTTGTGAGTTTATATAATGGTCTTGTTAGGATGGCAAAACTAGGTATCTAAAGGTGAAAGTATCTAACTATGCCGAGGAAGAAAGGAGTTGTTGTTTTGTAGAAGGGGTTGGGGTTTGAGAGATTAGTCGGACACAATCAGCAGGGAGAGCACTTGTGTTTTTATGAAGAATTATGCCGAGGTAGGTAACGGATGGAGAAGAAATTTGAGCTTTGGAGGGGGATACGTATCCTGATATCCTTTGGAGAATAAATGCTGAAGGAGCAGAAGTGTGTCTTGTTGAGAAGATTCAAAGGGGCTACAAAGAAGAAGGTCATCAATATATTGAATAAGGTGAGAAGTGGAGGGGTGGAAAGAAAGTAAATCATGAGAAAGAGCTTGGCTGAAGTAATGAAGGCTGTCCTTGAAACCTTGCGGCAGCACAGCCTAGGTAAGCTGCTGGGACTGATGGGTGTCAGGGTCAGTCCAGGTGAAAGCAAAGAGAGGCTGGGATGAGGGGTGCAGGGGAATAGTGAAAAAAGCATCTTTAAGATTAAGAACTGAATAGTGAGTTGTGGAGGAAGGTATTGAGGACAAAAGAGTTTACGGGTTGGGCACCACAGGGTGGATAGGCAAAACAATTTGGTTGATAAGGCGCAGATCCTGAACTAATCTGTAAGACTTGTCCAGTTTTTGGACAGGTAAAATGGGGGAATTGTAAGGAGAGTTTATAGGTTTTAGAAGCCCATGCTGTAGCAGGTGAGTGATAACAGGCTTTAATCCTTTTAAAGCGTGCTGTGGGATGGGATACTGGCGTTGAGCGGGGTAAGGGTGATTAGGTTTTAATGGGATGGTAATGGGCATGTGATCGGTTGCCAGGGAAGGAGTAGAGATGTCTTATACTTGTGGGTTAAGGTGGGGGGATACGAGAGGAAGATGCGAAGGAGGGTTTGGATTGGGGAGAAGGGTGGCAATGAGATGTGGCTGTAGTCCAGGAATAGTCAGGGAAGCAGATAATTTGGTTAAAATATCTTGGCCTAATAAGGGAACTGGGCAGGTGGGGATAACTAAAAAAGAGTGCATGAAAGAGTGTTGTCCAAGTTGGCACTAGAGTGGGGGAGTTTTCAGGGGTTTTGAAGCTTGGCCATCAATACTTACAACAGTTATCGGGGCAAGGGAAACAGGCCTTTGAAAAGAAGGCAACATGGTGTGGGTAGCCTTCATATCGATTAGACAGGGGATGGACTTACCTTCTACTGTGAGAGTTACCTGAAGCTCGGCATCCGTGATGGTCTAGGGGGCTTCCGAGGCGATCGGGCAGCGTCAATCTTCAGTCGCTAAGCCAAGCAGATCTGGGAAGGAGTCAGTAAGAGAGCCTTGGGCTAGAGCTTTAGGGGCTCTAGGAGTGGCTGCCGGGCGAGCTGGGCAGTCTCTCTTCTAGTGGGTCCCTGCACAGATGGGACATGGCTTGGGAGGAATCCTGGGCTGCGGGCATTCTTTGGCCTAGTGGCCAGATTTCTGGCACTTGAAGCAAGATCCTGATGGAGGAAGTCTTGTAGGAATGCTTGACTGCTGTGGCTTAGGCATGTGCGGCTTAGGCATTTTGAAGTTCTTGTATGCTGGAGGTGTGGCTGGGTTTTGTCTCACAGCAGAGGCAAGTAATTGTAACTCAGAAATGCGTTGCCGTCTGGCTGCTTCCTCTCTATTATTGTACACTTTGAAGGCGAGGTTGATTAATTCCTGTTGTGGGGTTTGAGGGCCAGATTCTAATTTCTGAAGTTTTTTCCTAATGTCAGGAGCTGACTGGGTGATAAAATGCATATTGAGAATAAGGCGGCCTTCTGGCTTTTCTGGGTCTAGGGCAGTAAAGCGTCTAAGGGTTGCTGCCAAGCTGGCCATGAACTGGGCTGGGTTTTCGTCTTTACCTTGGGTAGTTTCTTTAAGCTTGTTATAATTAACAGCTTTGTAAGCTGCCTTTTTAAGCCCTTCAACTAGGCAGGAAATCATGTAATCTTGCCTAGCTATACCTGGGGAATTTGCCTGATAGTTCTATTGGGGATCCTCTTGGGGGACTGCTCTAATGCCTTCCTGGAGGTCTGGCTCGTGAAGCTGGTGGTTATTAGCGTGAGATTGGGCTAGAGAAAAAACTCTTTCCCTTTCATCTAGGGGGAGGGTAGAAGTCAGGATGACATTTAAGTCACTCCAGGTTAAACTGTAGGACAGAGAGATATTGGAATTGCCGTATATATTTAGTGGGGTCTGATGAGAAAGAGCCTAAACGCTGACTGATCTGAGAGAGGTCTGATAGAGAAAAAGGTACATGTACCTTGACTATGCCTTCAGCTCCCGCCACCTCTCTAAGAGGAAATTGTTGGGCAGGTGGGGAAGAACTAGTCGCAAACTAAACTGTAAGCCGGACCGGGTGTGAGGAGGGGAGGTGATAGAAGGATTATAGGGTGGAGGAGCAGAGGCTGAGGAAGAATTAGGACTTAGCTTGGCCTGGTGACGAGCAGCCTGGGGAGGAGGGGAAAGGTCAGATGGGTCTGTAGAAAAAGGAAGACTGGAAAGACTCAGTGACGCTGGGTTTGGGACTGAGGGGACAGGCGGGAGGGAAAGAAGGAGGATTTGGGAGGAATCGCATTGGGAACAGAGACTAGGGAGGGAACGAAGTGTGAAAAATGCCTGGACATAAGGCACCTCAGACCATTTGCCTATTTTTCAACAAAAATTATTTAGGTCTTGTAGGGTGGAGAAATCGAAAGTGCTGTTTTCTGGCCATTTAGAGCCATTGCCAAGTTTGTATTGGGGCCAAGCAGTGTTGCAGAAGAAAATAAGGGGTTTAGGTTTTAGGTCAGGTGTGAGTTGAAGAGGTTTTGAGTTCTTGAGAACACAGGCTAAGGGAGAAGAAGGAGGAATGGAGGGTGGAAGGTTGTCCATAGTGAAGGAGGCAAGCCTAGAGAAAAGAGAGAGTAGAGACAAGGAGGGAAGGGGTTCGGGGGTTCTTACCCTCCAGAAAAGCGGGAAAGGGGTTGGGGTGCATAAATAAGGGATTGGGGCACAGAGATAAGAGGATGGGGCGTGGAAATAAGGGATTGGGGCACAGAGATAAGAGGTCAGGGCACAGAAATAAGGGATTGGGTGCAGAGATAAGAGGTCAGGGCATGGAAATAAGGGAACGGGGCACAGAGATACAAGGTTGGGGTACTTGCCCTTCCTCCAGAAAAGCGGGACTTGCTAAGGGTGAAGGAGAAGGGGTTGGGGGTTTCTTGCCCCCCCAGAACGGCGGAGAAGGGGTAGAGACACAGAGAGAAGGGGTTGGGGTACTTGCCCCTCCCCCAGAAAAGCAGGACTTGCCGCTAAGGGTGAAGGACCAAGGCAGGCGTCCCTGCGTGGTCTGACACCTCTGAAACGTGGGTGAATAATCAGAGGCGTCCCTGCAATGATTAAACACCAAGGGAAGGCTGCCTTCCCAGTCCGTGACTGGCGCCGGAGTTTTGGGTCCACGGATAAAACGTGTCTCCTTTGTCTCTACCAGAAAATGAAAGGAATTGAAATTAAAAGAAGGGAGAGATTGAAGTGTGGTGTCAAGATTGAAAGGAGAAAGATTGAGGGATAGTGAGGGAGGTTGGAGAAGAGAGTAAAAAGAGGCCACTTACTGGATTTGAAATTGGTGAGATGTTTCTTGGGCTGGTTGGTCTGAGGACCTGAGGTCGTAGGTGGATCTTTCTCACGGAGCAAAGAGCAGGAGGACAGGGGATTGATCTCTCAAGGGAGGTCTCCCGATCCGAGTCATGGCACTGAATTTCATGTGCGTCCATGTGAAGAGACCACCAAACAGTCTTTGTGTGAGCAACATGGCTATTTCACCTGGGTGCAGGCGGGCTGAGTCCAAAAAGAGTCAGTGAAGGGAGATAAGGGTGGGGCCATTTTATAGGATTTGGGTAGATAAAGGAAAATTACAGTGAAAGGGGGGTTGTTCTCTGGCGGGCAGAGTGGGGGTCACAAGGTGCTCAGTAGGGGAGCTTTTGAGCCAGGATGAGCCAGGAGAAGGAATTTTGCAAGACAATGTCATCAGTTAAGGCAGGGCAGGGCATTTTCACTTTTTTATGATTCTTCAGTTACTTCAAGCCATCTAGGCATATACATGCAAGTCACAGAAGATGCGATGGCTTGGCTTAGGCTCAGAGGCCTGACAGATAGTTCCTGTCTAAATAAAATTGGTCTCCTTATACAATCCTACGATAGATTTCTATGTTATGTTTGATTTGGCATCATCTTTAATGTTCCTCTAGCACCACTAGCCTTTTTCTTTCTGTACCTTATGATGTAAATTTTGCTATTTGATTTTCACCTGAGTTGTTTCCTTTAATATGCACATTTAAGGCTTTTTATCTGACAACTGCCTTGAGTTGTGAAACAGGTTATCAAGAATCTGAAAGTCTAAGATGAGGGGGAAAAAGGTCTTTGTTAATCTATAAGATATTCTTCTATCAGCAAGCCTAATACATCTATGTATTTATGTGTTGTGTACACAACATTTCACTACTGAAAATATATGAGAGGTCTAATTAATTGGCTAAATAAAAATAAAAGCACTTAAATCAAATACTTTATCAGAAAAAGGAAAGACTAGTCAAATGCTTTTTCAAGTTTATGAGACTTAAAATCATTAATAAATAAACTAGCTTTAAAATTATTGGTAAAGTAGTATTAGAAATGTCTTAAGAATTGCCAGCATACATTTTTATTTGCATTTATTAATCAAGCAATTTCATACTTATCCCTACCAAATACTATGAGGTGTCAGAATTTGGCACAGGGGTTACAAAACTATAAACCTAGCCTAATACAGAATAATCTTTGCTTGTGTGATCTTTAATAAATAAGACATTGATATTGGTTTAATGGAAATAACTACATCTTGAATTATTTAGTAAAACTAACATAACTTCTAATCTTGTGGCTTTAGGCAGCATAGTCCACAGGCAGTAAGGAGATTTGTTTTGGGAAAGGACTGTTACCATCTTTGTTTCAAAGCTAAACTATAAGTTCCTCCCAAAGTCCAGAAATGAATAAGGACAAGCTTGGAGGTTAGAAGCAAGATGGAGTAAGTTAGGTCATATATTTTTCACTGCCTCAGTTAGAATTTTGTAATGGTGAGTTTCATAACTTTAAATGATGACTATCGTAGTTTTCATAAATAATCTAGGTAAATGAATAAAATAAAATAATTAGGTAAATATAATGGGATAAATACTTGTAGACAAATGTCATAATTTAGAATCTAAAGTTAAATTAAATGATATTTCATTATTTGGGTATTTTCTGATAAAAATATATTGTAGGAAAACATTCTTTCTAAAAAAAAGTGTCCTTTTTAAAAAGGTGAACAATTTTCGTCTAATTAAAAGCTTATTTAAAGGTTATGTATAAAACAAGTTTAAAGGAACCAGGAAATAGGGGAAATGTAAAGAACGGTATGAGATAAAGAGGCATTTTTTGGTAAGAAAGCTTAAAAAGAAATAATTTTACATGAGAAAGCATTGAAGCCATTTTGTAAAAATCATAACTGAGAAAATTATGACAATGAAAGATATCAGACCTAACTGACCCCATCTTGCTTCTAACCTCTAAACTGTCCTTGTTCATTCCTGGGCATAGGCCAAACTAGCTTTGGGAAGGGATTTAGTGTATAGTTTATATAATAGCCCTCCCCAAAAGGCTAAACTGTTCTTATAAAACAAATGAAAGGCCACCAGCCACCAAGTCAAGATGAGAGGGGCTGGAATTCTAAATATTACCCGCCATTATTCCACAGGTCATTAGATTTACAACTTCCCCAATTACTCTTGAAGGTAACGTCACTATTGTGAACCTAAGATCGTCCTTTTGAGATGTCTTTTCAGGTTTTTGCATTTTTAACAACCAGATGGCCCCACCTGGATCTGCCAACCAGTTCTGTGGCTCCCACCCAGGAACTGACTCAGCAGATGAGAACAGCCTGGACTCCCTATGATTTCATCCCCAAGCCAACCAATCAGCACTCCCAATTCACTGTCCCCATCCCCCACCCACCAAATTAATTTTAAAAACACAAATACCAGAGTTGTCAGGGAGACTGATTTGAGTAATAATAACATTCTGGTCTCCTGCACAGCCAGCTCTGCATTAATTACTCTTTATTACAATTGCCCTGTCTTGATAAATTGACTCTGTCTAGGCAGCAGATAAAGCGAACCCCTTGGGCAGTTACAGAATCTTGTACGGTAAATTTAGACCTAGAATAAAATGACTGGTTGTTTAAGAAAGAGGAATGTTCAGGACAAACCAGAAAGTCCAAACATATCATTAATGGTCTGTGTAAGTCACAATAAAAGGTTTTATTAAAAAAAACATTTATATGATCAAGTTATCTATAATTAAAGGGAAATTATAATGGTCTTTCTAGAGAATGGGCTTGATGTAAAAAAAAAACACTTGTACACTAAAGAATTGATTAGAACAATAAAATTCCCTAAAGGGATTGATTTACTCTTAATAAATTATAAGAGATTTTAATTTTTTAACCCAAAGTTTAATGTTTAGTGCATCTCACTGTTTCTGGTTTTCTCTCCCCTTTTAAAAGGCATGAAATAATAACAATCTCCTTCAACTCATTTTCAGCTCATATTTTTTTTTCTTCAAGATCTGTTTGTTGTAGCCTGATGCTAACAATACTTTCTTAAAGATGTAAAGGAAATGTTTTCTTACAAAATAATATTATGTACATTGCAGAAGGTCTTTTTCCTTTTGGTAACTGACCTAACAAATTTTACATTTTATTAAAATAATTTCTATATCATTATTATTAAAGTTTTGCTTTGCTTAGGAAAAAACTGAGATTAATTTTTTTTTTTAATTGAGGTTCTTACATCCATGTATCTTTCTGTATGTGATTTAAAAGTACTTGTGACATTAAGTTACAGGGCTTTGACACTTGGGTCTAAAAAGGACACCAAGTCTTGCTAAATCTTTTTTTTTTTGCCCTTTTTAAAATTATTATCCTTTAAGTTCTAGGGTACATGTGCACAACATTCAGGTTTGTTACATATGTATACATGTGCCAAGTTGGTGTGCTGCACCCATTAACTCGTCATTTACATTATTTCTCTTAATGCTATCCTTCCCCCATCCCCTGACTGTACAACAGGCCCCGGTTTGTGGTGTTCCCCACCCTGTGTCCAAGTGTTCTCATTGTTCAGTTCCCACCTATGAGTGAGAACATGCAGTGTTTGGTTTTCTGTCCTTCCAAGAGTTTGCTCAGAATGATGGTTTCCAGCTTCATCTATCTCCCTACAAAGGACATGAACTCATCCTTTTTTATGGCTTCATAGTATTCCATGTTGTATATGTGCCACATTTTCTTAACCCAGTCTATCACTGATGGACATGTGGGTTGGTTCCAAGTATTTGCTATTGTGAATAGTGCCGCAATAAACATACGTGTGCATGTGTCTTTATAGTAGCATGATTTATAATCCTTTGGGTATATACCCAGTAATGGGATGGCTGGGTCAAATAGTATTTCTAGTTCTAGATCCTTGAGGAATTGCCACACTGTCTTCCACAATGGTTGAACTAGTTTACAGTCCCACCAACAGTGTAAAAGTGTTCCTATTTCTCCACATCCTCACCAGAACCTGTTGTTTTCCTGACTTTTTAATGATCACCATTCTAACTGGTGTGAGATGGTATCTCATTGTGGTTTTGATTTGCATTTCTCTGATGGCCAGTGATGATGAGCATTTTTTCATGTGTCTGTTGGCTGCATAAATGTCTTCTTTTGAGAAGTGTCTGTTCATATCCTTTGCCCACTTTTTGATGGGGTTGTTTGATTTTTTCTTGTAAATTTGTTTAAGTTCTTTGTAGATTCTGGATGCTAGCCTTTTTTCAGATGGGTAGATTGTAAAAAATTTTCTCCTGTTCTGTAGGTTGCCTGTTCACTCTGATGGTAGTTTCTTTTGCTGTGCAGCAGCTGTTTAGTTTAATTAGATCCCATTTGCCAATTTTGGCTTTTATTGCCATTGCTTTTGGTATTTTAGTCATGAAGTCCTTGCCCATGCCTATGTCCTGAATGGTATTGCCTAGGTTTTCTTCTAGGGTTTTTATGGTTTTAGGCCTAACATTTAAGTATTTAATCCATCTTTAATTAATTTTGGTTTAAGGTGTAAGGAAGGGATCCAGTTTCAGCTTTCTACATATGGCTAGCCAGTTTTCCCAGCACCATTTATTAAATAGGGAATCCTTTCCCCATTTCTTGTTTTTGTCAGGTTTGTCAAAGATCAGATGGTTGTAGATATGTGGTATTATTTCTGAGGGCTCTGTTCTGTTCCATTGGTCTATATCTCTGTTTTGGTACCAGTACCATGCTGTTTTAGTTACTGTAGCCTTGTAGTATAGTTTGAAGTCAGGTGGCATGATGCCTCCAGCCTTGTTCTTCTGGCTTATGATTTCCTTGGCAATGTGGGCTCTTTTTTGGTTCCATATGAACTTTAAAGTAGTTTTTTTCAATTCTGTGAAAAAAGTCATTGGTAGCTTGATGGGGATGGCATTGAATCTATAAATTATCTTGGGCAGCATGGCCATTTTCATGATACTGACTCTTCCTATCTGTGAGCATGGAATGTTCTTCTATTTGTTTGTGTCCTCTTTTATTTTGTTGAGCAGTGGTTTGTAGTTCTCCTTGAAGAGGTCCTTCACGTCCCTTGTAAGTTGGATTCCTAGGTATTCTCTTTGAAGTAATAGTGAATGGGAGTTCACTCATGATTTGGCTCTCTGTTTGTCTCTTATTGGTGTATAGGAATGCTTGTGATTTTTTCACATTGATTTTGTATCCTGAGACTTTGCTAAAGTTACTTATCAGCTTAAGGAGATTTTGGGCTAAGACGATGGGGTTTTCTAAATATACAATCATGTCATCTGCAATCAGGGACAATTTGATTTCCTCTTTTCCTAACTGAATACCCTTTATTTCTTTCTCCTGCCTGATTGCCCTGGTCAGAACTTCCAACACTATGTTGAATAGGAGTGGTGAGAGAGGGCATCCCTGTCTTGTGCCAGTTTTCAAAGGGAATGCTTCCAGTTTTTGCCCATTCAGTATGATATTGGCTGTGGGTTTGTCATAAATAGCTCTTATTATTTTGAGATACGTCCCATCAATACCTAGTTTATTGAGAGTTTTTAGCATGAAGGGCTGTTGAATGCTTTTTCTGCATCTATTGAGATAATCATGTGGGGCTTTTTTTTGGTTTTTGTTTTTGAGACAGAGTCTCGCTTTGTTGCCCAGGCTGGAGTGCAGTGGCGCGATCTTGGCTCACTGCAAGCTCCGCCTCCCAGGTTCACGCCATTCTCCTGCCTCAGCCTCCCGAGTAGCTGCAACTACAGGCACCCACCACCACACCCAGCTAATTTTTTGTATTTTTAGTAGAGATGGGGTTTCACCATGTTAGCCAGGATGGTCTCAATCTCCTGACCTCGTGATCTGCCCACCTTGGCCTCCCAAAGTGTTGGGACTACAGGTGTGAGCCACCGCTCCCAGCCCCAATCATGTGGTTTTTGTCTTTGGTTCTGTTTATATAATGGATTACGTTTATTGATTTGCATATGTTAAACCAGCCATGCATCCCAGGGATGAAGCCAACTTGATCATGATGGATAAGCTTTTTGATGTGCTGCTGGATTCAGTTTGCTAGTATTTTATTGAGCATTTTCACTTCAATGTTCATCAGGGATATTGGTCTATAATTCTCTTTTTTTGTTGTGTCTCTGCCAGGCTATGGTATCAGGATGATGCTGGCCTCATAAAATGAGTTAGGGAGAATTCCCTTGTTTTCTATTGATTGGAATAGTTTCAGAAGGAATGGTACCAGCTCCTCTTTGTACCTCTGGTAGAATTCGGCTGTGAATCCATCTGGTCCTGGACTTTTTTTGGTTGGTAGGCTATTAATTATTACCTCAATTTCAGAGCCTGTTATTGATCTATTCAGGGATTCAACTTCTTCCTGGTTTAGTCTTGGGAGGGTGTATGTGTCCAGGAAGGTAGATTTTCTAGTTTATTTGCACAGAGGTGTTTATAGTATTCTCTGATGGTCATTTGTATTTCTGTGGGATTGGTGGTGACATCCCCTTTATCATTTTTTATTGAGTCTATTTGATTCTTCTCTCTTTTCTTCTGTATTAGTCTTGCTAGTGGTCTATCAATTTTGTTGATCTTTTCAAAAAACCAGCTCCTAGATTCATTGATTTTTTGAAGGGTTTTTCATGTCTCTATCTCCTTCAGTTCTGGCTCTGATCTTAGTTATTTCTTACCTTCTGCTAGCTTTTGAATGTGTTTGCTCTTGCTTCTCTAGTTCTTTTCATTGTGATTTTAGGGTGTCAATTTTAGATCTTTCCTGCTTTCTCTTGTGGGCATTTAGTGCTATAAATTTCCCTCTACACACTACTTTAAATGTGTCCCAGAGATTCTGGTACGTCATGTCTTTGTTCTCATTGGTTTCAAAGAACATCTTTATTTCTGCTTTCACTTAGTTATTTACTCAATAGCCATTCAGGAGCAGGTTGTTCAGTTTCCATGTAGTTGAGTGGTTTTGAGTGAGTTTCTTAATCCTGAGTTCTAATTTGATTGCACTGTGGTCTGAGAGACAGTTTGTTATAATTTCTGTTCTTTTACATTTGTTGAGGAGCGCTTTACTTCCAACTATGTGGTCAATTTTGGAATAAGTGCCATGTGGTGCGGAGAAGAATGTATATTCTGTTGATTTGGGGTGGAGAGTTCTGTAGAAGTCTATTAGGTCTGCTTGGTGCAGAGCTGAGTTAAAGTCCTGGATATCCTTGTTAACTTTCTGTCTCATTGATCTGTCTAATGTTGACAGTGGAGTGTTAAAGTCTCCTATTATTATTGTGTGGAAGTCTAAGTCTCTTTGTAGGTCTCTAAGGACTTGCTTTATGAAGCTGGGTGCTCCTGTATTGGGTGCATATATATTTAGGATAGTTATCTCTTCTTGTTGAATTGATCCCTTTACCATTATGTAATGGCCTTCTTTGTCTCTTTTGATCTTTGTTGGCTTAAAGTCTGTTTTATCAGAGACTGGGATTGCAACCCCTGCTTTTCTTTTGCTTTCCATTTGCTTGGTAGATCTTCCTCCATCCCTTTATTTTGAGCCTATGTGTGTCTCTGCACATGAGATGGGTCTCCTGAATACAGCACACTGATGATGCGTCTTGACTCATTATCGAATTTGCCAGTCTGTGTCTTTTAATTGGGGGCATTTAGCCCATTTACATTTAAGGTTAATATTGTTATATGTGAATTTGATCCTGTCATTATGATGTTAGCTGGTTATTTTGCTTGTTAGTTGATGCAGTTTCTTCCTAGCATCAATGGTCTTTACAATTTGGCATGTTTTTCCAGTGGCTGGTACCAGTTCTTTTTCATGTTTAGTGTTTCCTTCAGGAGCTCTTGTAAGGCTGGTGGTGACAAAATCCCTCAGCATTTGCTTGTCTGTAAAGGATTTTATTTCTCCTTCACCTATGAAGTTTGGCTGGATATGAAATTCTGGGTTGAAAATTATTTTCTTTAAGAATGTTGAATATTGGCCCCCACTCTCTTCTGGCTTATAGAGTTTCTGCTGAGAGGTCCGCTGTTAGTCTGATGGGCTTCCCTTTGTGGGTAACGCGACCTTTCTCTCTGGCTGCCCTTAACATTTTTTCTGTCATTTCAACCTTGGTGAATCTGACAATTATGTGTCTTGGGGTTGCTCTTCTCAAGGAGTATCTTTATGGCATTCTCTGTATTTCCTGAATTTCAATGTTGGCCTGCCTTGCTAGGTTGGGGAAGTTCTCCTCGATAATATCCTGAAGAGCGTTTTCCAACTTGGTTCTCCCCGTCACTTTCAGGTACACCAATCAGACGAAGATTTGGTCTTTTCACATAGTCCCATATTTCTTGGAGGATTTGTTCGTTTCTTTTAACTCTTTTTTTCTCTAAACTTCTCTTCTCACTTCATTTCATTCATTTGATCTTCAGTCACTGATACCCTTTCTTCCATTTGATCAAATCGGCTGCTGAAGCTTATGCGTGCATCATGTAGTTCTTGTGCCATGGTTTTCAGCTCCATCAGGTCATTTAAGGTCTTCGCTACGCTGTTTATTCTAGTTATCCATTTGTCTAATCTTTTTTCAATGTTTTTAGCTTCTTTGCGATGGGTTTGAACATCCTCCTTTAGCTCAGAGAAGTTTGTTTTACTTACTGATCTTTTGAAGCCTACTTCTGTCAACTTGTCAAAGTCATTCTCCGTCCAGCTTTGTTCCATTGCTGGTGAGGAGCTGCATTCTTTTGGAGGAGAAGAGGTGCTCTGACTTTTAGAATTTTCAGCTTTTCTGCTCTGGTTTCTCCCCATCTTTGTGGTTTTATCTACCTTTGGTCTTTGATGATGGTGACCTACAGATGGGGTTTTGGTGTGGATGTCCTTTTTATTGATGTTGATCCTATTCCTTTCTGTTTGTTAGTTTTCCTTCTAACAGTCAGGACCCTCAGCTGCAGGTCTGTTGGAGTTTGCTGGAGGTCCTCTCCAGACCCTGTTTGCTGGGGTATCACTAGCGGAGGCTGCAGAACAGCAAATATTGCAGAACAGCAAATGTTGCTGCCTGATCCTTCCTCTAGAAGCTTCGTCTCAGAGGGGCACCCGGCTGTATGAGGTGTCAGTCGGCCCCTACTGGGAGTTGTCTCCCAGTTAGGCTATTCGGGGGTCAGGGACCCACTTGAGGAGGCAGTCTGTCAGTTCTCAAATCTCAAACTCCGTGCTGGGAGAACCACTACTCTCTTCAAAGCTGTCAGACAGGGACGTTTAAGTCTGCAGAAGTTTCTGCTGCCTTTTGTTCAGCTGTGCCCTGACCCCAGAGGTGGAGTCTACAGAGGCAGGCAGGCCTCCTAGAGCTGCAGTGGGCTCCACCCAGTTCAAGCTTCCCGGCCGCTTTGTTTACCTAGTCAAGCCTCAGCAATTGCAGACGCCCCTCCCTCAGCCTCACTGCCACCTTGCAGTTCAATCTCAGACTGCTGTGTTAGCAGTGAGCAAGGCTCCATGGGCATGGGACCCTCCCAGCCAGGCATGGGATATAATCTCCTGGTGTGCCGTTTGCTAAGACCATTGGAAAAGCGCAGTATTAGGGTGGGAGTGTCCCGATTTTCCAGGTACCGTCTGTCACGGCTTCCCTTTGCTAGGAAAGGGAATTCTCCGAACCCTTGTGCTTCCAGGGTGAGGCGATACCCCGCCCTTCTTTGACTCACACTCACATGGGCTGCACCCACTGTCCAACAAGTCCCAGTGAGATGAACCTTGTACCTCAGTTGGAAATGCAGAAATACCCATCTTCTGTGTCACTCACACTGGGAGCTGTAGACTGGAGCAGTTCCTATTCGGCCATCCCTTTCTAACTCTTAAACACTGACAGCAATTAAAGCCTCATCTTCAGGCCCCATAGAAGATGCCAATCAAAATAAACTACCTTCTTGAGACACAGGCCCAGAAATTAAAGCCGTTCAACTCCACAAGGCCCAGGGACTATTGTGGAAGAGGTGGGCATGTGAGATTGTGAGGGCCGATTTTAAGAGATAAAATAAGTTCAGTTTCTCTACAAATTAACCATTAATGTCAAAGTCACACCTCTGCAAGACTAGCATATGGGTAAAATTTGAAAAACAAATTTAATTGGCTTCATGCTATTTTTATTAGGGCTTATTATTTGGAAAATTAAGTCTTCTCTCTCAAAGAATGAAGGTTTTCTCTTTTTTGAAATCCTTGAGTTATCACTTTGGTTAAATGAATGACTTACTTTACAATGGCCTGTAATCCCATTTTGTGATATCAAGTGTTTTATTTATTTATTATTATTATTATTATTATTACTTTTTAAAATGGAGTCTCGCTCTGTTGCCCAGGTTGGAGTGCAATGGCATGATCTCAGCTCACTGCAACCTCTGCCTCCTGTGTTCAAGCAATTCTCCTGCCTCAGCCTTCCAAGTAGCTGGGACTACAGAAGTGCACCACCACACCTGGCTAATTTTTTGTATTTTTAGTGGAGATGGGGTTTCACCATATTAGCCAGGCTGGTCTCAAACTCCTGACCTCAGGTGATCCACTCACCTTGGCCTCCCAAAGTGCTGGGATTACAGGAATGAGCCACCATGCCTGGCCTGGTATCAAGTATTTTAAACCTTTGATATTTGACAAACTTTCCAAAATCAAATTATACATTATGTCATTTCTGACCTAATTAATCCTTTAAGATATTATTAATAGGATCCCTAAAGTCAAAAAATGACATGTTTGGCTTATTTGATATAGAAATTATACAGGAAGCATTGTCAAATATGAAATGGTATTTGGTTTTTCTTTGGGCCGTATTTGTATAAATATGTTGCTGGTATGTGTTCCAAAATTATGGGAAACTCCTATAATTCTGATATGACTTAGTGTATGTTATCAGTAATAATTATAATTGTTATGTTAAATTATTGTGTGACACAGAGGTAACAAATTTCCTTGTCAATTGTGTCTTTGACTACGGCTGCCCTTCTTGTCTTGTTTTGGTCCTCTTTAGAAGGTGGTTTTATAATCAGCTATAAAACTCTTAACAGGTGCTCTTGAATGCAGTTTTCTGATAGCTTTGGAGATTGTGACATCAGAATAGAGGAGAAACTTTCAGGGCTCATAGAGAGTTGAAATGCTCCTGAATAACAAACAGAATAGGAATTAAGTGCATGGACTAAACTAATAGAATAAAACGTTGCTGATCCTTTGTTTTGTTTTTCAGAGTCAAAAAGACTTTTAAGCTATTTACAGCTTTTAACAATTGAGTAAAGTATATTCCCTTTGTTTCTCTCTACCTGATTTCTACATAATTTGGGAACTATTTGTGAATATTCTTTTTTTTTTTTTTTTTTTTGAGATGGAGGCTTGCTCTGTCACCCAGGCTGGAGAGCAATGACACGATCTCAGCTCACTGCAACCTCCGCCTCTCGGGTTCAGGCAATTCTGCTGCCTCAGCCTCCCGAGTAGCTAGGACTACAGGCACCCACCACCACGCCTGGCTAATTTTTATATTTTTAGTAGAGGCGGGGTTTCACCATATTGGCCAGGCTGGTCTCAAACTCCTGATCTTGTGATCCACTCGCCTCGGCGTCCCAAAGTGCTGGGATTACAGGTGTGAGCCACTGCACCTGGCCTGTGAGTATTCTTAATTTATGATAATAGTTATTTGCATAAGTACAATAAGAATCTGTTTTCATTTGTAACAGGACACAATTGGAGAAACTGGTTATTTTACCAAGGCTTTGACTGGAATGGTGTGCTTTCCTTTAAGGAATCAAACTTGACTTATGGAGCCAATATAAGCCCCTTGGAAAAACTGGCCTTATATCTTTGTCTACACAGTCCCTGTACAGGGTTCCTGACCTGTGGTAAGTAAAGAATGTCACTTTCTGACAGGCTCAGGAGCCCCAAGTTTATCTTGGAACCTGAAGAAGAGAGGAATTCACCCAACTCATAAGTATTTGATGGTCCAAATCCATGGCTGGGCTCAGCTTTAAAAAAGTCTTATGTGAGATTCCTTCTATGGAACAAAATTCCATCAAAGCCAATTTAAAAGCCTATGTAAAAAATAAATAATTATTCTTGCTGCACTATATACAAATAATCAAGCCAAGTATAATAAAGCAAATCAGTCCTACCATGATTTGTCTTTTGTAAAAATGGAAAACTAGAGAGAGAAAAATTATATTTCAAAAACTGTAGTACACTTAATATGGTTTGGCTGTGTCCCCACCCAAATCTCATCTTGAATTGTAGCTCCCATAATTCCCACACGTTGTGGGAAGGACCTGGTGGGAGATAATTGAATCATGTTGTGGGGGGCAGTTTCCCCCATACTGTTCTCATGGTAGTGAATAAGTCTCATGAGATCTGATGGTTTTATAAGTGGAAATCCCTTTTGCATGGTTCTAATTTTCTCTTGTCTGCCGCCATGTAGGACATGACTTTTGCCTTCTGCCATGATTGTGAGACCTCCCCAGCCACATGAAACTGTGAGTCCGTTAAACCCCTTTTTCTTTGTAAATTACCCAGTCTTGGGTATGTCTTTATCAGCAGCATGAAAATGGATGAATACAACACCTGTTGTTAGATTCTAGTCTTGTCTAATGTTTTTCAATTTTTATTATTTTCTACAGTTTGGACTGAATTCTAATTTTTCTTGGCTACAAGCCTGCAAAATAATGTTTTCCATTTTTTCCTTCTTTTTTTCCCCCATTTTTCCTAATTTGGAACCACCAAAAACTAAGCTGTGCTTTTGTAAAGCCCTGTGAACTGAAGCTAGACAACTAAACTTCAGAAGAAAGTAACAGCAACCTGTTTACATACATAAGCCACTTTCATACCTGCCTACTGATATATGGACTTCATAGTAATGTGGCCTATATTGATTTCCCAGGATTGTTCTTTAGTTTGATGTTGCTTTTCTCCCTTCCTCCCCCTATTTTCTCTTCATAGAATATAAGACTTCACAACCTGCTGAAAATGAGCTTTCCTAATAACTCGGGACCTACCTGTCTAGGAATAAACCATCCTAAACATGAAAGATCAGAGAAAATGTGAGACCAGAGACTCATTTTCTTCTAAAGTCCTTTCTCCAAAAGATTTTTAAAAAGATAAAGGGGGAAATTTGAAAGGAAAATAAATCTTGGGGCCCCCAAATCACTAAGCTAAAGGGAAAAGTCAAGCTGGGAACTGCTTAGGGCCAACCTGCCTCCCATTCTATTCAAAGTCACCCCTCTGCTCACTGAGATAAATGCATATCTGGTTGCCTTCTTTGGAAAGGCTAATCAGAAACTCAGAAGAAATGCAACCATCTGTCCCTTATCTGCCTATGACCTGGAAGCCCCCTCCCCACTTTGAGTCCTCCCGCCTTTGCTTTGAGTTGTCCCGCCTTTCCAGACCGAGCCAATGTTTATCTTCTATATGTTGATTGATGTCTCATGTCTCCCTAGAATTTATAAAACCAAACTGTGCTCTGATCACCTTTGACACATGTCTTCAGGACCTCCTGAGGCTGTGTCATGGGCATGCATCCTCAATCTTGGCAAAATAAACTTTCTAAATTAGCTGAGACCTGTCTCAGATTTTTGGGGTTCACAAGCATGTTATCCGTTAAGTGATAAGATCATAGAGAACTTAAGTGAACCCATTCTGCATACAAAATTCAGTGCATATTATGGCGAGTGGGAGTATCTGAACTTGTAGTTCATCTGGTTTTTACTTTACAAAGATAAGACTAACTCCGGTTAATTCCCATGTCTAGAGAAACACAATATAATTTGGCTCCGCACCTGAGATGCTCTCCAGCCATGATGGTAGAGTTCCTCATTCTAGGGATTATGGACCCAGGCCAAGCCTGCTCCTTGATACTGAAAGTAAGCAGCAGAATCTGCCTAGCAATCCTTAGGGAACCTGTCAAGTGTCTGGAACCTAATACCCAAAAGAGAAGGGCCATTTTATGCTGGCCCTCCTCTTCCAGTCCTGTTTTCTATCTGATGCAGCAGCGCTGGAGCTTTGTGGCAGATGTATTCCTAAGTGGTGGAGGGTGGTCCAGGGAGGGAAGTATGAAATGCAGTTTAAGTAACCAGCTTCTTTGGCGGAGGTTGGGGAGATATTTTCTATAGCAGATAAGAGAAGAATAAATGGTTACAGGATTTCAATACTTTGTTACTGGATATGGACTGGTATATGAAATGAAATAAATGTCCAGACAGGTGCTAAGAATTTAAATAGTTCACTTGTTATACCAAGATTATTTCACGAGATACACGCAATTCAAAACTGAATCCTGCATCTCTCTTCCAAGTTCTCAGTCCAGAGAATGAACTTTTGTGAACAGAGGAAAGGGAGAAATGAAGCTTGGGATTGGGAATAGATGTGTTAGAGGCTAAGAGGTGGAAATGTTGGCGTTCTACCCACTACAGGGACCCACCACCCAAAGAGCACACCATCGCAAGATAAGATGACTTTCCTGTGAAATCCATTCCCCCCTTGAGGTCTGTGGCCTGACATAGATCTGGGACAATCTGGGAGATACACTCTAGTTACTTAATGTTAAGGAACATTAGGGAAATGGAGCCCAAGAAAGTTAAGTCTAATCCTGGGATCATAGACTGGACTCTCAGCACACATGAAGCTTTCAGACATCACTTATAAATAGATACTCCCTTCCCTCACTCAGGCTTCATACCCAGTGGAAAAAATGTGCTCCTGATATCTGTATGTCCCTGACTTGTCTGCTTTTGTTGGGTCTTGAGTCATGGGTAATATTAGGCATATAGCCACTCCCTTTCTCTGCGTTCACACAGGCCCATCCATTCATTCAATAAATATTTTCTTAGCATGTACCTGCCAAGCATGGTTATAAATGCCAGAGATATTGTATCTCTTCTCAGGGCCTCGTATTCTCAGCCACATTCACAAATAGAGACATACAGACTTTATTGGAAAAAAAATTAACTGGCTCCTACACAACACTTTAAACTGAGGTGAACAAGACTGTCTTCACCTGGTAGTCAGGGTAACTGGGTTTCAGCCCAGAATCTTCCACCAACCAGCTATGGGACCTCAGGCAAGTCACCTCTCTTTTCAGGCCTCATCTTCGTCTTCTGTAAAGTGAGACCCTTGGTCTAGGATGGGTGATCTCTACGTTTCTTTCTCAATTTCACATTTTGTAACTCTCTCATTCTTTAATAAATATAGGCCCTGTATCTGTTGTAGGAAAAGCTGAGATTATTTTCTGGGGGAAATTGATAACAAACCTAGATTTTTTTTCCTAGTGAACTGTAGGGACTAGTGTATTTTCTGAGCCACATCAGGAACTGTGTCCTGAGCCCAAGAAATGGTATAGTACAGGCCTCTCGGACCTTCACATACCCAAACTTCAGAGAAAGCTCACATTACAAGCAATTAATATAGCATAGCAAAGGAAGAGAAGAGAGGTGACAACTGTAGTGGCTTCTTGCCCCGCCTTGATGAGATGGGAAGGGGAATCTAGCAGGTGGGGCAGACAAGGCTGCCCTTGGGGCAGTTTGTGCTTCACAGTGTTGTGAAGTCCAAGAAAGAGGGTTTTGTCAAGATTCTTTTTTCTGTGTGTTTAAACAGAGTTATACTACAATTGAATTAGTGTTCTCACCCAGACCCCCTGCCATAAAAATCATCAAACAAGCCTGGAAGAATGTTACTGCAGGGACTTTGCCAGCAGAGTGCTAGGATTTCTGGAAGCTGGGTATCTTCTCACACACAGTGGCCAGCATTGGCTTTGGAGTTTCTTGTTTTCCTAGCACCTGAGGAAAACTTTGATTTGCCCCAGAAAGACTGCCCAGGTCCAGGGCAATGCTATTTGACATCGTATCCTCGGTGCATGGGAGTAAATATGCCCCCTTCAGGTGTGGCACAGACTTGAGACTTATGCTGAGGTCAGGCCTCACAGCTGCCTCCCAAGGCTACTGTCCCAGATGGCCCCTTCCCACACACCGGCCACCATGGAGGGATTAGCATGCACGTGTGTGTGTGTGTGTGTGTGTGTGTATGTTTGTGTCTTTGTGTCAGTATTTCTGTGAAGGAGGCAGTCCAAGGGACCAGCAGGAGGATTTGTAGCTGGTGTGTGTGTGTGTGTGTGTATGTTTGTGTTTTGTGTCAGTATGTCTGTGAAGCAGGCAGTCCAAGGGACCAGCAGGAGGATTTGATTATTACTGCCTAGAGACATCTGACGCAGGGGAGCCCTGGTTTCTTGTGGTTGATATACCTGGGCAAGGAAAAGGGAGCTGAGAAGCAATCAGAGAAAGTTGAGCAAAAAGGATGAAGGCAGGAGGAAATAGCTGAAAGAAGACAGAAGAGCCCAGCTCAGACACAGGTGATTAGCAGTTCCTCAGGGTTCCTTTGGGAACCCTGAGGGTTCCTGAGCAGTTCCTTTGGGGTCCAGGGTTTGTGAGGCTCTGCTGGACTACAGGCATCAGCCACCCCTGAGGGAGGCAGCTCTGCACAAAGAAGATACAGTAGCTGGAGGAGCCAGTTCATCCAGCCAGGAATCTTCTGGCCTCACAGCATCTAAAGGGAAAATGCAGAGAGAACAAGTCAGGATTCTTGATTATGGGACTCCCTGTGGAGGGCAAGGCCCTAGAAAAAGTTGGACATCATCTAAGAGTTCTGGCTTCAAAACTCAGTATTGTGTGGTCTTTGTGCACCCTCTTGTGGAGTGAGCAGTGACTCCTGAAGGCTTGCCCAGACCAGGATCATTTCCGTTGGGAGTATCATAGACCAAAGTCCATCCTCAAAATCTGGTCTCCACTCTCACAAAAGGAATGCACACAAATGTCATCCAACTGAAAGTCCTATTTCAGAAACCTTTTGTCCACTCTCCTTCTATTATTCTAGTAATGATTACAGTAGGCTAAACATTGTTTAAGTTTCAAAAGGCAGAAAACCAGAAATTTTTTTTAAAAAAACAGTATTATATGAAGCAATGCTTGTAGAACAATCTATCATCTGTAAGCAGACTATTTTCCTTGTACTGATCAATACTACTCCTTTATTACCTATCTTATCTTTCCTGTCTCTCCACTGAGTTCCATGTATACCTCACACAGTCACACAACTGTTGACACAGTCAAAACTGCAGTTCGCAGATGAGGCAACTGGAACTCAAAGAGGTTATGTAATTTGTGTAAGATTACACAGTTTGTAAGTGACAAAGTCCAGAGTCCAATTCAGGGCTACCAGTTTACATGGTTTTCCACTGAACTTCACTGTTTGCAGAAAAGAGATATACAAAAACATTTAGATAGATCCTTCCACCCACACAGAATTTATTGCTACTAATTGAACAGACTACTGAGTAATGTTATTAAAATATTGTTTTAGGTGTGACATTTTGATAAGAACTTTTTTTTTTTTTTGAGACAGTCTTGCTCTGTCACCCAGGCTGGAGTACAGTGGGGAAATCTCGGCTCACCACAGCCTCCGCCTCCCAGGTTCAAGCGATTCTCCTACCTCAGTCTCTATGGTACCCACCACCAAACCGGGCTGTGTGGTTTTGTTTTGTTTTGTTTGTTTGGTGTGTTTTTGGGTTTGTTTGTTTTTGTTTTTGAGACAAAATCTTGTTCTTGTCGCCCAGGCTGGAGTGCAATGGCATGATCTCGGCTCACTGCAACCTCCGCCTCCTGGGTTCAAGCGATTCTCCTGCCTCAGCCTCCCAGGTAGCTGGGATTACGGGCACCCAGCTACCACCACACCCAGCTAATTTTTGCACTTTTAGTAGAGGCAGGGTTTCACCATGTTAGCCAGGTTGGTCTTTGGTCTCGAATTCCTGACCTCAGGCAATCTGCCCGCCTCAGCCTCCGAAAGTGCTGGGATTACAGGTGTGAGCACTAATTTGTATTTTTAGTAGAGACAGGATTTCACTGTATTGGCCAGGCTGGTCTTGAACTCCTGACCACAAGTCATCCACCCGCCTCAGCCTCCCAAAGTGCCAGATTAGAGGTGTGAGCCACCGCATCCAGCCGATAGGGGGATTTCTTGAGTTACTTCTTGTGTGGTACAGTATAAACCATCTCCTCTCTTCCCTATGAAATTATTAGTAAATGTTACATTGATTACTAATACTTTGTATTGAAGTAAATTTTTTTTAGGGTGGGGAACTCAAAGACAGTGGTAGGAAACAACCAATTAACTGCATTGTAAATTTAAATGTTCCCATGGACTTTCAAAAACAAAAGAAATCCACATCTTAAACTGAAATGTTAACACCTTACCAGGATCTTGGAAAGCCCAAGAAAAATACCTTCCACATCAGGTCAGCTCAGCTTTGCTGTTGTGGTAGAGAGAGAGGAGAGGAAGAGAAATGAGGCAGAACATTTCAAAGAAACATTCCCTGCCCTTGTGCTTACAGTCTTACCATATCCTAATGCCATTCCTGTAGGTGTTTACTACCCCACCTTCTGTTGTACAGTTAGAGAAAATGAAGTCCAGAAGGAGGCGACAACTTGGCTACGTCTCCGCAAACTCCCAGTTTCCCAAGTGCCCTGCTTTTTAGGCCCCATTGAATCAAATGATATGCCAACACTCAGTTCTACCCTTTATACTCCATGAAACACCCAGTCCTGGGCTGATGCCTCTTATGAAACTGACCAGTAGGGTTGGAGCACTATTTCTCATTATCTCTACCTCTTTGCTGTAGTATGATTAGGACAGTCAAGCAGCAAACAAGGAAACTCTCAGTGTACTTCCACACTTAGGAGTGAGTGTTTGTTTGTTTGTTTGTTTGTTTGAGATGGAGTCTCGCTCTGTCGCCCAGGCTGGAGTGCAGTGGCACGATCTTGGCTCACTGCAACCTCTGCCTCCTGGGTTCAAGCGATTTTTCTGCCTCAGCCTCCCGAGTAGCTGGGACTACAGGCGCACACCACCACGCCCGGCTAATTTTTGTATTTTTAGTAGAGATGGAGTTTCACCTTATTGGCCAGGCTGGGAGTGACTGTTTTTTTTGTTTTGTTGTTAAAGCCAAACGTCTTTGTAAAATTATCAGACTATCCTTTGCAGGCATCAAATTCTTCAGCTTTAGATTCTTCACCTTCCTTTTGCTTTGTCATATAATGACTTCACTTTCTCTTGACTCATATTAGTCTATAGGTATGTCTTTCTTATAGCAACCCAGCACCACATAAAAGCTGCAATTTCAAAATGAGATAAAAAGATAGTTTGCAAAAAGTGCAAGGTTTTCACATCTGCTGGCATAGCTGCAGTGATGGCTTCACAATTTTTCTTTTTTTCTTTTTCTTTCCTTTTTTTTTTTTTTTTTTTTTACAAAGGCCCTTATGCTGGAGTCATGTATCTTGAAATCGTGGGCAACTGCACTGCAGACCTCAATCTATGGTACCTATCAAGCATTTCAACTTTTTATTATAATGTCATGACTTTTATCTGCTTCTTAGAGTACTTTGAGCATCAATTAGTGGCACTCTATGGGTTCCATGGTGTTATTCAAGGTTTAAGATATTGCAGTAAACATGATGAAAAAATATGTGAGAACTGTGAGACATCACTTTTTACTGCAATGTAAATTTACTGGAGAGGAACTGCTTACGTGGAGATGATTAGTGGCATATATATTCATATTTGCAACATATCCTAAAGACTCTTCAATATTTGTTGTAATTTTGTCTTTATTTCTTATTTGAAACAGTTTTAAGAGTATGTTTTTTTTTTTTATACTTTAAGTTCTGCAGAACGTGCAGGTTTGTTACATAGGTATACACGTGCCATGGTGGTTTGCTGCACCTATCAACCCGTCATCTACATTAGGTATTTCTCCTAATGCTATCCCTTCCCTAGCCCTCCACCCGCCAACAGGCCCCAGTGTGTGATGTTCCCCTCCCTATGTCCATGTGTTCTCATTGCTCAACTCCCACTTATCAGTGAGAGCATGCAGTGGTTTTCTGTTCTTGTGTTAGTTGCTGAGTATGATGGTTTCCAGCTCCATCCATGTCCCTGCAAAGGACACGAACTCATCCTTTTTTATGGCTGCATAGTATTCCATGGTGTATATGTGCCACATTTTCTTTATCCAGTCTATCATTGATGGGCATTTGGGTTGGTTCCAAGTCTATTGCTATTGTGAACAGTGCCACAATAAATACATGTATGCATGTGTCTTTATAGTAGAATGATTTATAATCCTTTGGGTATATACCCAATAATGGGATTACTGGGTCAAATGGTATTTCTGGTTCTAGATCCTTGAGGAATCATCACACTGTCTTCCACAATGGTTGAACTAATTTATACTCCCACCAACAGTGTAAAAGTGTTCCTATTTCTCCACATCCTCTCCACCATCTGTAGTTTCCTGACTTTTTAATGATCGTGATTCTAACTGGTGTGAGATGGCGTCTCATTGTGGTTTTGATTTGCATTTCTCTAATGAGCAGTGATGATGAGCTTTTTTTCATGTTTGTTGGCTGGATAAATGTCTTCTTTTGAGAAGTGTCTGTTCATATCCTTTGCCCACTTTTTGATGGGGTTGTTTTTTTCTTGTAAATTTAAGTTCTTTGTAGATTCTGGATATTAGCCCTTTGTCAGGTGGATAGATTGCAAAAATATTCTCGCATTCTATAGGTTGCCTGTTCACTCTGATGATAGTTTCTTTTGTTGTGCAGAAGCTCTTTAGTTTGATTAGATCCCATTTGTCAATTTTGGCTTTTGTTGCCATTGCTTTTGGTATTTTAGTCATGAAATCTTCGCCCATGCCTATACCTGAATGGGATTGCCTAGGTTTTCTTCTAGGGTTTTTATGGTTTTAGGTGTTACATTTAAGTCTTTAATCCGTCGTGAGTTAATTTTTGTATAAAGTGTAAGAAAGGGGTCCAGTTTGTTTTCTGCATATGGCTAGCCAGTTTTCCCAACACCATTTATTAAATAGGGAATCCTTTCCACATTGCTTGTTTTTGTCAGGTTACATAGGTATACACATGCCATGGTGGTTTGCTGCACCTGCCAACCCATCATCTACTTTAGGTATTTCTCCTAATGCTATCCTTCCCCTAGCCACCCACCCCCCAACAGGCCCTGGTGTGTGATGTTCCCAGCATCTGTAGTTTCCTTTTTAATGATTGCCATTCTAATTGGCATGAGATGGTATTTCATTGTGGTTTTGATTTGCATTTCTCTAATGACCAGTGAGGATGAGCAGGAGGGTTGCTTGAGCCAAGGAGTTTGAGACTACAGTAAGCTATGATTGTGGCATTGTACTCCAGCCTAGGTAACAGAGAAAGACCCTGTCTCTAATGTATATATTTTTTTCTATTAAACACATTCAATTCTATAAAATTCCTTCAAAGCACCTCTTTTGCTGCATCCAACAAATTTGGTAAGTTTTATTTTCTATTTCATTTAGTGCAAAATATCTTTAATTTATTTAAATTTCATTACACATGTGTTATTTAGAAGAGTGTCATTTAATCTATGAGTACTTTGGGATTTTCTAGCTATCTTTCTGTCATTGATTTCTAGTTTAATTCCATAATAGTCTGAAGGCATACTTTGTATGATTTTTATCCTTTCAAATTTGTTGAGGTGTGTTATATGGTTGTTCATAGTGATGAATGTTGTTTGAACTTGAGAAGAATGCCTATTCTGTTGTTGTGGAGTACGCTATAGATGTCAATTAGATATAGCTGATTGATGGTGCTCAACTATGTCCTCAATCATTTTCTGCCTACTTGATTTGTCAGTTGCTGATAAGAGGATTGTGTCTCTGTAAGTCTATTCCTATATTTCTCACATATTTGCAGCTCTACCAGTTTTTGCTCATGTATTTTGCTGCTTTGTTCAGTGTATATACATTAAGAATTTTATGTCTTCTTGGAGAGGGTGGGCCCCCTTTATTATTATGTAATGCCCCTCTTCTTCCATGATTTTCAGTGCTCTAAAGTCTGATTTGTCTGAGATTAATATAACTACTCAAACTTTTTGATTACTGTTAACATACTATATGTACTTTTCTCCCTTTCTTCAGTTCTGTCCACTCTGTTGATGACCTCATCAAAGTCACTGTTCTCTTGTTAGTTTTTTAATGCTAGAATTTCCTTTTAATTCTTCCATTTCTTTGCTTTTATTGCCCATTTGTTCTTGCACGTTGTATACTTTTTCCATCAGAGCTCTTAGCATATTAATCATATTTTAAATTCCCAGTGTGATCACTGCAACATCCCTGCCATGTCTGAATCTGATTCTGATGCTCATTTTCTCTTCAAACTGTGCTTTTTGTCTTTCGTTTTTGTTGACTGTTGGACGTGATGTACCGGGTAAAATGAACTCGAGTGAATAGGTCTTTAGTGATGTGGTGGTAATACATGCAGTGGGGAGCATTCTATAGGTCCTGTGATTAGGCTTCTTAATAAGCCTAGGTCCCCAGACTGGACATTCACAAGTGTTTTTCAGTCTTCCTCCACCTCTCCTCACCCCCATTTAGGTAAAACAGGAAGGTTGGAGGAGGCTGGAGTTGGTTATTCCCCTTCCTCCAGTTGTCTAGGCACTGGTAAAACCCAATGCAATTAGGTTCTAGCAAAAGAGTTTACTTTGGGGCCAGGCTTACATTAAATAAAACAGAATTCTCTGGGCTTATTTCAGAATAGTTACTCTCACCTACATCTGCTAGAAGCACAAGGGGATTTTTCTGATATTCACTATGAAAACCAGGTGGGACTCTTAGAGGTAAAACTCACAAGTGTGCCTTCTCAAATCCACACAAGGCTTGGCCTCCTCTCAAGAGATTTTCTCTCAATTAGTCCATGATCAGCCTCCAGGAAGTATTCAATTACCTTTAGATATTCCTACCCAATGCTGGCTCCAGTGGTGGTTTCTGGGCAGGTGCTCCTCCAGGTAAAATATGATTTTCTGGACCTGCCTTTGTCTCCAGTTTTCAGGGTGGTAGTTTGTCCTGTGACTTCAACTCAAAGTCAGAGTTTAGTTGTTCAGCTTTTTTCTTTGTTATGATGGGAATTAAATTTTTCAAACTTTTTACATATCAAACTGGAAACCAGAAGTCCCTTATGCTTTTAAAGAAACTGCCAATTTTCCAGACGAGTTGTACCATTTACATGATACCACCACCATGTGAGATTTCATTTCTCCACATCCTGGCCAGCATTTCATACTGTCACTAATTTTTTTTTTTTTTTAGGTATTCTAATAGATGTCTAGTGATGTCAATGTAGTCTAAAATTGCATTTCCTTCATAGTGATGTCAAACATTCTTTTCAGAGCTAATTTGCTATCAGTGTATCCTCTGTAGTGAAATGTTTCTATGTTTTTTGCCCATTTTCTAATTGGATATTTTTTAACTGAGTTTACAGAGTTCTTTACTCTAGGTATGAGTCTTTTGCCAGATATGTGGTTTACATGTGTTTTCTCTGTCTATATTTTTCATCCTTTTAACAGGGCCTTTGGCAAACAAAAGCTTGTAATATTGATGTGTCAATCTGTCAAGTTTTTCTTTTATCAATATTCTTTGGTAAGAGCTATTCGGTAAGTTGAAGCCTTTCTCCTGTGGTTTTTCCTAAAAGTTTTATACTTTTATGTTTTACATTTAAATCAATGATCCTTTTTTGAGTTACTTGTTTAATGAGTGAATAATAAGTGGAGACTTTTTTTCTCTGAAATCCAATTGCTCCCCCAGATAACTATCTTATGAATCATGTCTATCACAAATTATCACTAGATAATCAACTTAATTTACTTTTTATTAAAACCAACCTGCTGAAAAGAATACAAATTTTGACTAGGAGGAGAAAGGGGGAGTGGATTTATGATTTTATGGCAATTATAACAGGAGTGTTTCAATGGAGACTTTAGGCAACTAGAACTCAGCATGAAACCAGAAGGTAGAAGCTGATAAAGGCAGGGGTAAAAAGGAGAAAATGAGTTCAAAACAACTAACTTTCGGCCAGGCGTGGTGGCTCACACCTGTAATCCCAGCAATTTGTGAGGCCGAGGTGGGCGGATCACAAGGTCAGGAGATGGAGACCATCCTGGCTAACGTGGTGAAACCCCATCTCTACTAAATACAAAAAATTAGCCGGGTGTGACAGCATGTGCCTGTAGTCCCAGCTACTCAGGATGCTGAGGCAGGAGAATGGTGTGAACCCGGGAAGCAGAGCTTGCAGTGAGCAGAGATCGTGCCCCTGCACTCCAGCCTGGGCGAACAGAGCGAGACTATGTCTCAAAACAAAACAAAAACACTAGAGGGCAATTTTGCATGCAAATTATGCTAAGGCATAATTTTTAGTATTATCTTAGTATTTCTCAAAATGTAGTCATCTATGGATTTACTGAACAAATTTGCCATATCTGCTTATAATCATACACTACTTCATAATTTTTGACAACCATAAATAATATAATTTCCTTGACATGTTAATGGTATCATTGTAATTATCATGTGATGCTTTGGAGACTGATTATCATACTATGTGAGGCATTACAAAGAAAATCAAGACTCTTAGCAGACTGTGATCATTTTTCTTTCCCTAATAGATATGAGAGAAAATTACTGCTTGATTTTACTGTGAGAATTTGGATCCAGACCTACTGTCCTCATTAGGAATCAGAAATCAGAGAATCAGAAATCAGAATGAAATATCAAAATGATGCCCTAATGGCTATTGCAAAAGGAATATGTGGGTAGTTGGAGAGTGGAATACGTGACTCTGTTTTTGGAGCAGTATTCACATTTTTTATTTCGAGGTGTAAAATATACGTGGCCAACATTGTTACTTTCATCCACAGATGGAATAGCTGGGAAGTATAAAAACCTGTACATGACCTTTAGTGAAGATTATTTGTCATCAAATTACCCATATCCAAGTTTCCATGGGCCTGGAATTTCCTTTCCACTTGATAGAAGTATATATTAGGAAGTCCAGTTAATAATATTTTTATTTAAAAAAAAAAAAAAGGAAAAAAGAATCAGCAGAGTCAAGTTGTCTTAGTCTTAAGGCTTTCTGGATTTCTTCCTTGGAGGAGGTCAGGATCTTCCCAAGGCCTGGGTCCTCGAATATTCTTCCAGTCATCAAACTTGGAGTCTTTGATTTTCTATAGAACCACAAAAAATTAAAGTATAAATATTAGTATAAGAGCCTGTGGCTTTGATTAGGACACAACTAACTCAATGAATAAATGAGTAGAAAGTATCCGATAGGTCCTCGATTACAACTGTAGCAAATAAATCAACTACAATCATTGATGAAATGTCATCTTAAGATTTAGAACTTTTCATTTGTTACTGATGTTAATGCCTATCTTACGCCACCTTAACCGTAAAACTATTAAAATAGAGAAAGAGTCTACATGCCTTATTTTTGAGAGGACAAGGAAAAGGCTGAAGCTGGGAAAACAAAAGTACAAATCTGAAGGCTGATCCAGCACAGTGACTGAAAGGGTTATCAGGGATGATGGTAGAAAATAAGAAGAAAAGAACAAAGGGTGGAGACCCTAAAGTCTTCTACAAAAAAGAAAAGAGACCAAGATCATTTGTCTTACGCCTGGGCTTAGGAATGAAAAGACTTTCCTACAGCTATCTATCATAAGCAAAACACTTTTGGGCAACTGAAACTAACTGCAACTACATTATGGATCATCCTACCTTCATTTAGTCTGAAGTACCTCTCAAGCACAAAAATAGTTGGAATAAAAGGGAAGAAATAAATGTTTCTTCACCTTTCTCCTACTGACCACCACTCTGACATTAACTTTTACATATCTGCTGTTTTGGTTGTTCTGAAATAATTGAGTAAGATGGAAAAAAAAAGCTGTGAAAACATAGGATAGCTTATATCCAGAGACAGGGAAAATGGAATAAATTTACCTTGACACTTGGATACTAAGCATTACTCTCTTACTAACTAGCTATATAACCTTTGGAAAGTAATTTAAGCCACCTGGGCATTAACTCTCTCATAAGTAACAATGAAAAGGTTGGACCAAATACTCTACATTTGAGAGTCTTCAGCTCTCAAATTCTACAGGTCCTAGAAGAACTAGAAGGAAAATCTACTCCCAGACAAACTCTTCATAGCATCATTACTGGTATAGCACTTGTAGAACTACAAGTTAGCAAGTTACAGGATTTTTTTTTTTAATCAATGGGAAAGTAGTAAATGAAAATACTGTTCACTTATAGTTTTACCAGGAGTCTGTATTACATATATACATGAAGGAACAAAATTCAACTAATTTAGCATACAAGAAGAATTTAGATTATTTCATAAGTATAGTTATGAAATGATCTAAAGTTATTAAAAGATTTTAATAAAGAATAATGGCCATTATCCAGGTAACGTAAGATATGTATGCTTAACAGAACTGAAGAAAATTCTTAAATAACAAGTTCATGTAAAAGTAGTCTAGCCTTTACAGATCTTTGGTGAAGGAGATTCCTTGTAGAATTCTACAAAACGTGCACAGTGGCTGAAGAATGGGCTATGTAAATGTGCTGAGAAAAACCACCCAAGACATAACACTTCACAGCCAACTGGTATAGGCCTGAGTGTGGAACAGCGTCAAGAAATGCTGAGAAAAAACAGTGTCAAGAATATGGAGTTTCCAGGCCTGCCAGAGTGGAGACCTTTCTTTTAACATTTTGTTGCTACCCTGACATCCACCTAAGACACCAAAAGGACTGTTCTTCAGGAGTAAAAATTATGCCTGAGAATAAGATTTTTTTTTTTTTTTTTTTTTTTTTGAGACGGAGTCTCGTTCTGTCACCCAGGCTGGAGTGCAGTGGCGCGATAAGATTTTCTTTAGACTCACCCCAACAAAGCTTAAAGCCAAGCCTTGACAAGATTCTCTGGGGAGATAGTCTGGAGATTGAGTCCCAACAAGGGAGAAGGGCCAAGGAAAGATAGCTAGCCCTTCAACAGATACTTCCCTACAAAGCACAAAATGAAGTTTAAGGTGATTAGCTAACAATTAAATTGTCAAAATAAAAATCAACACTCTTCAGAATTTTCTTCAGTGTATTATTCACAATGACTACCTTTCAATACAAAATGACCAGACATATACAAAGAAACAGGAAAATATAATCCAGTCAAAAAAATGACAAACTCAAAGACATGAAGAACATCCTCACCACATCCCATAATATAGCGTGCTGTTAAACTCCTTGATTTTTGCTAATTAGATGGGTGAAAAGTGATACCTCGTTAGACTTTGACATTCCTATTATGATAAATTGAGCATCTCTTCATATGTTTAAGAATGATACTTATTTCCTTTTGTCCAAAAGTTTTACATGCTATGCTTTCCCATGTTCTTACTGAACAAATGAATTGTTGAACTTTTTCACATTGATTTGGAGATGGTCTTCATATTTAAGTAAATTAATGTGCCATGATAAGATTAAACTATATCTGTAGGATTTCTCATGTAATCTGTGACTTTATATACTTTTTTCATTCTTAACTTTTGAATTTGTATGTATGAACCCATTGATCTTTACTTTTAGAGCTTCTGGGTTTTATATCACATTTAAATAGGCTTTTTTGACTCAAGACAACAAACAAAATTCTCCATTTATATTCTCCTAGTACTTTCAGCATTTTGTTTTTTACTTTCAAATTCTTGATCCATCTGGAATTTATTTATTTGTAGTATATTAAGTATGGATCCATCTTTTTATTTGCTTTTCAAATGATTATAGTTTATCAAATACCATATATATTCAACGTAATTTTTTTCTGTACTACTAATACTTTTAAGGCAGATAAAACCAGTAACTGATTGTTATAAGACAGAGACTATATTAACATACCGTACCTCATATTCCGACTCTAAAGATATTTTATTCTCTTTCAGTTTTTTTTCAAGCTCAGGATCCATCTGTAGAAAAGGAAAAAAAGTAATAAGTTATCTAAGTCTGTTTGTTAGACTCAATTTTCAATTTTAAGTTATAGAAGAGATGGCTGAAATACTATAGCCAAATACAAACACATGGCAAAATCTCCACCATCTACTCTGATCACATAATGATAACTAATGTACTACTGCCAGCATTATTCAACTAAAAAGAGTTAATATCTACTGATTACTTGTTATGTGAGAGGCATTTTGACATATATTATCTTGTTTCATCCTCACAAAATCCATGAGATCTGTATTATATGTAAGGAATATGGGACACGGGGTTTGAATAACATGTCAAAGAAGCAGAGCTTGGCTTTAAGTATTAGTTCTCTGCCTCCAGAGTTCACACTATTAACCACCAATCTAAATTATATTATGGAGAAATAACAAAAATACTAATATAATGCTGCACTTGAAAACAAAAAGGAATACCTTCCATGGGCCAGAAGTAGATATCTACCAAAAAAAAAAAAAAAAAATCCATAGAGGTAAAAAGGAGCTAATGCTATATTAACTGTATAAAAAGCCTTTCTGTATGTGGCAAAGCCTTCAGGAAAAAGAGTATGATGGCTGAAATCAATAAACAACAACTACAAAAAAGCAAAGATCAAATAAGTAAAATAGAAGCATAACCAGAGGATTTCACTGGAATAATGCATGAAGAGATAAAAATGAGATGAATGAAAAAAAGTATTTTACAAAAGCTAGACCTAAAAGTTCTAACACATAGCTAGAAGTTCCAGAATTAGAAAATAAAGGGGAGGGAGAGCAATAATTAAATAAAAATAGCAAAGAATTCACCACTACATAGCAATGAGTCCTCAGACTGAAAGAACATCATAAGAAATAAGCACAACAAAACAAAAACATTTTTAATCAAAGTGAAGTTGATTAAGAGAAAAAAGAGAAGTCACAAATAAAGAGTATTTAGATGAAAAGGTCAACAGCACAAATTCTATAGGCAATAAAGAGTATAATAATATGAATAATTTTATGCCATTAATTTGAAAACTTAGATAAAATGGACAGATTAATAGAAAAATACAACTTTCCAAAACTGACAAAGGCACAATAGACAACCTGAATAGTTTTACAATCTATAAAGAATTAAATCTATAATGAATAACCTCACACAAAGAAAAGTCCAGGGTCAGATGGCTTTGCCAGTGAATTCTCCCAAGGAAGAAATAATGCCAGTGTAACAAACACTCTGTATGAATTATGTGGTAAGCATAACCCTGATATCAAATTTCACAAGAAAATAAAAATAACAGGCCAGCTTCATATATGAACACAAATGCAGAATTCTTAGTGTAAAAAGAATTCAGCAACATACCAAAAAGACAGCATACCATGATCAAGTTGAATTTATTCCAGAAAGGCGAAGTTAATTTGGAAATCACAATGTAATTTGCAAACAAACTAATGCGACAGAACAGAGAATCCTGAAGCAGACTTAAAAACTTATATGAACAGTTGATTTATGACAAATTAGGCACAGAAGAGCAGTCACGAAACAATGCGATTGTCAATATTTGATGATTGCACAATTTCTTATCTATTAAGAGAATATATTCCTCACATCACATACAAAAAAAGAAAAAAATCAATTCCACATAGAATGTAGACCCAAATATGAAAGGCAAAAATCAAAACTTATAGTAATTCACATAGAAAAATATTTATACTTTGGAGTAGGGAAAATGTTTCTTAAAAATCATAAAGTAAAAGAAGAATAAAATATATTGTATTGAACTTTTTTTCTTTGAGATGGAAATCTCACTGTCACCAGGCTGGAAAGCAGTGGCACGATCTCGGCTCACTGCAACCTCTGCCTCCTGGGTTCAAGCAATTCCTCTGCTTCAGCCTCCCGAGTAGCTGGGACTACAGGCATGTGCCACTACGCCCGGCTAATTTTTTGTATTTTAGTAGAGACGGGGTTTCACCATATTGGCTAGGATGGTCTTGATCTCTTGACCTCATGATCCACCTGCCTCGGCCTCGCAAAGTGCTGGGATTACAGGTGTGAGCCACGGCACCCAACCAAGTGTATTAAACTTAAGAAAATTTGTTTATCAAAAGATACCATTAAGAAAGTGAAGACTAAAAGGTTTATAATCTGGCATGCATAAAAAGACTCCTAAAAAATAGTAGGAAAAAAACCCAATAATCCAGTAGAAAAAAATGAGCAAGAGGCCTCAATAGACACATCACAAAAATGAATATACAAAATAGAATACAAAAATGGCCAACAGACATATAAAAAGTGATTAACTTCATCGGTCACCATGGAAAATTTAAATTCACCTCATAATTGGATAGCAATTCGTAACACACCCACCAGAATGATTTTAAAAAACAAAACAAAATTAAACTGACAATACAAAGTATTTGGAGCCTTAACAATAAATTGCTGGTAACAGTATAGATGGATAGTCATTCTGAAAAACAGTTTGGAATTATCAAATAAAATTGAAGTATGATACAACACCCTATAATCTAGCAATTCCTTTTTGTACATGTACAGGAGAAAAGCATACAAGAATGGGAATGTTCAGGATGTCACCAAGATGGCAGAATAGAAGGTAACCTGCTCATATCCCCCCATAGCAACAAGAATCCTGCACCTATCCACAGTAAAAAGTCTTGCTGCAGGAACCTCAGAATTCAGGTAGGAGGTTGTCAAACCCTGATGGAGCCAAAGACCTAGGAAGGTCGTTTTGAATGCATTCACACCTAGGTGGATGATCCACTGAGCTTGCTTCTAAGTTCAAGCCTGGAAACAGCCCAGTCCTTCAACGGGCTTAGCTATAGCCCCATTTGGCCTTCAGTCTACAACCAAAACCAGCTGCCAAGAGGTCCAGAAGGACTCATACATGCTAGTGACTTAACAGAAAGGCTTGTCTGCCTGATGATATTGGTCTTGACAGTGAGCCTGAAAGTGACCCTGTGGCTCTGCTCCAGCCTTCAGCTGCAGGTCCCAGCTCAGAGCTGTTTACACAAGGACCCAAAGGGAGACTCAACATATCTGGCAGCCCAGGAGTATAGGCCTCCCCTGTGGGCTTGCCAACCTCCTGTCACAGCAGATCCTGAGGGGGCCCAGCGTCAGCTGCAGCCCCTCTTGCTGTAGTTGAGAAACGATCCTGTCTGCGCAGGATCCTCCAGGGAGACAAGTGCCCCACTTGAGCCAACAAGATCCAGCTCTCTAGCCTCCAGGCCACAGCAGATCCCAGGGGGGCCCAGTCTCAGTTCTAGCCTCTCCTGCCACAGTTGGGGAACTATCCTGTCTGTCTAGGGACCTGCTGGGAAATGCACACCCACCTGAGCCAATGTGACAGGCATGCCATCCTCTCTTCTACAGTAGATCCCGAGGCAGCTCAGTCTCAGCTTCAGCCCCTCCTGTGGAAGTTGAGGAACTACCCCACTGATGCAGTGACCTGCCAAGTGACACATGCTCATCCGTGGCAATGAGAGGGGATCATCAGCCTTCCCACAGCAGATCCAGAAGGGGTCCAGTCTCAACTCCAGTCCCTTTTGCTACAGTCAAGAACCCATCCTGCCTATGCAGAGAACTGTTGGGAGGCATGCTTGTCTGGTACGCTGAGACAGTCTTCTGGACTCAAGTACCTGGTCAGCATTCCCACACAGCCCCAGTACCTACCTTGGATCTTCCACAGATCCATTTGGGCCAAAAAGCCATGCCAACCTTGGAGCCTTCATAAGACTCACGGCAAGCCTGGGCTTTGGGCACTCTCTAGGGCTGAGGCAGCTCAGGTGGACACAGGCTCAGGGAAGACAACAGTCAGTGTGCTTAGAATCCCTGGAACACCCTCTGAAGAAGGACAGGCACAAACAAAACCAGACTTGCACAGACTAAGATAAATACAGAGGCTCTCAATGTGCACAAACTGTCACATTTCCTTGAGTATCAGAAACATTTAGGAAAATATGACCTCATCAAATGGACAAAATAAGGCACTGGAAACCAACCCTAAAATGATGGAGATGTGTAATCTTTCAGACAAAAAACTGAAAATGGCTGTTTCAAGGAAGTTAAATAAACTTCAAGAAAAGACAGAGAGCCATTTAGAAATTTATCAGAGAAATTGAACAGAGAGGTTGAAATAATTTTTTAAAAATCAAACAGAAATCCTGGAGCTGAAAAATACAATGAATGAAACAAAAAATGCACTACAAAGCATCAACAGAAGAATTCAGCAAACAGATGAAAGATCAGTGAGCTCAAAGAGAAACGATTTGAAAATACACAGTAAGAAGAGAAAAAAGGAAAAAGAATGAAAGTAATAAACAGCTCACAGGATCTATGGAACAACATAAAAACAGCAAATATTCAGGTTATTGGAGTTAAAGTGGGAACTAAGAAAGACAAAGGAGCAGAAAGCTTATTCAAAGAAATAATAACAGAAAACTTTCTAAACCTGGAGAAATATATAAGTATCTGGGAAAAGCAAGGTAAAATGTCACCAATCAGATTCAACCCAAATAATACCCCAAGACATATTATAATCAAACTCTCAAACACCAAAGTCAAAGATAAGAGGCTAAGAGCAATAAGAGAAGTGAAGCAAATGATAGAAGGGGCATCCATATGCCTGGCAGCAGACTTCTTAGTAGAAACTATAAAGGCCAGAAGAGAGTGGGACAATATATTTAGAGTGCTGAGGAAAACAAACAAAAATACTGTAACAACCAAAAATACTGTATCCAGCAAAGTTATCCTTCAGAAATGGAGAGATGAAAGACTGCCAAACAAAAGCAGAGGGAATTTATTGTTACTAGACCTGTCCCAAAAGAAATGCTAAAGAGAGTTCTTCATACTAAAAGATAAGAATACTGCATGATATACTAATACTGCAATCATGATGTTTAAATCACTTTTATCTTTAGTAAGACAAAACTATTAAAAATAGTAACTGCAACAATTTGCTAAGAGATTGGCAATACAAAAATGTAAATTGTGGCCAGGCGCAGTGGCTCACATCTGTAATCCCAGCATCCTGGGAGGCCGAGGTGGATGGATCACTTGAGGTCAGGAGTTCAAGACCAGCCTGGTCAACATGGCAAAACCCCGTCTCTACTAAAATTACAAAAATTCATCGGTTGTGGTGGTGCGCACCTGTAGTCCCAGCTACTTGGGAGTCTTAGGCAGAAGAATCGCTTGGAAGGCAGAGGTGGCAGTGAGCCGAGATTGCACCACTGCACTCCAGCCTAGGCAATAAAGCAAGACTCCATCTCAAAAATAAATAAATTGTAACATCAAAAATTCAACATGTTGGGGGAAAGAGAGTTAATGTGTATAGGTTTTTATTTTGGTTTTTCCTTTTTCTGTAATCAAAGTTAAGTTGGTATCCATTTCAAATAAGTTGTTATATCTATAGGATGTTTTCTGTAAGCCTTGAGGTAACTGCAAAGCAAAAATCCGTAACAGATACACTAAAAATAAAAAGCAACAAGTTAAAATATACTACCAGATAAAAATCAGTTAATCACATAAAAAGGAATGAAAAAAGGATGCGAGGAGTTACACAACTAGAAAACAAGCAACAAAATGGCAGTAGTAAGGCCTTACCTATCAATAATAACAGTGAATGTAAATGGACTACACTCTCCAGTTAGAAAACAGAGTGGCTCACTGAATTAAAATATAACACCCAAGTATATGCTGCCTATAGGAAACTCACCTCATCTATAAAGATACACATAAACTGCAAGTGAAGGAATAGAAAAAGATATTCCATGGAAATGAAAACCAAAAAAAGAACAGAAGTAGCTATACTTATATCAGATAAAATAGACTTAAGTCAAAAACTAAAAAGAGACAACGAAGGAAATTATATAATGATAAAAGAGTCAATTCAGCAAGAGAATATAACAACAGTAAATATATATGCACCCAACAGCTGAGCACCCAGATATACAAAGCAAATATTAACAAATCTAAAGGGAGACAGACTGCAATACATAATATTGGGGGATTTCAACAACCTACTTTTGGCAATGGACAGATCATCTAGGTACAAAATCAACAAAGACACATTAAAGTTAAACTCTACCCTAGACCAAATGGACCTAAGACAAATTTACAGAATGTGTCATCAGACTGCTGCAGAATACACTTTTTCTCATCAGCACATGGAATATTCTCCAGGATAGACCATATGTTAGGCCACAAAGTCTCAACAAATTCAAAAAAGTATCAATCATATCAAGTGTCTACTCTGACCAAAACAGAATAAAAATAGCAATCAATAACAAGAGGAGCTTTGGAAGCTGTACAAATACATGGAAATTATACACAACGCTCCTGAATGACCAAAGAGTTAAAAAAAAAAAAAAAGGACCAAATTTTTAAAATTTATGGAAACAAATAAAAATGGAAACATGAACATAGCTATGTTCATTTGTTTACCTTTGTCTATGACTGCCTTTTGTACTACAACAGCAAACTTGAGTAAATGCAGAAGTTCAAATTTACTATCTGGCTCTTTACAGGAAAAGCTTGCTGATCCCTGACTTAGATTTGAAGCACAAATGAATTTCACATATATAATATTGAATAAAAGAAGTCAGCACAAAAGAATATATATAATTCCACTGATATAAAATTCAAAACAAAGAAAATTAATCAAAGGTTTTGGGATGTATTCTAAAATGGTAAAACCAAGGAAGTAATTACTATAAAAAGCACAGTAGGGCCAGGTGTGGTGGCTCATGTCTGTAATCCCAGCACTTTGGGAGGCCAAGGCAGGTGGATCATGAGGTCAGGAGATCAAGACCATCTTGGCTAACACAGTGAAACCCTGTCTCTACTAAAAATACAAAAAATTAGCCGGGCGTGGTAGCATGCACCTGTAGTCCCAGCTACTCGGGAGGCTGAGGCAGGAGAATCGCTTGAACCCAGGAGGCGGAAGTTGCAGTGAGCCAAGATTGCACCACTGAACTCCAGCCTGGACCACAGAGTGAGACTTCGTCTCAAAAAAACAAAAAACAAAAACAAAAACAAAAAAGCGCAGTAGTGTTTATGCTAGGGCCAAGAGGAAGACATGGAGCGGCAGGAGGAGAGATTAGGAAGCAGCACACAGAATGGGTCTGGAATGCTTAACAATTTTTACTTTTTGACACAGATGGTGGTTACTTGGGTTTTCAGTTTATGATAATTTATTAAATTGTACATGTATGTTCAATATACTCCTTGGTTTCTGTATTGTGTTTCACAACAAAACAACTTAGATAAATAAAAATAAAATAATGAATTACTATATTAATAATTGCATGTATGTAAAAGGGATAAAACACAAACCTACAATACAAGTTAACTTCCTCATATGCTTTCAACTAAGAAAACAGCAAATGACCTACTGTTGGTGGGCACGAGGAACTGACTGTATTATTGAGAGATATATCTGTACTTTGTGTGATTTAAAAGAAATTTTTAGTGCTAATTTTGATTGTGTGAAATTTCTGCCTTACCAGCATACATTAAAATCAAACCTCTACCTAAGATGCTACTCTATTGTATAATGCTTTGATAAACTTTCTTCCTGTATCTTTATTTTCTGTACAAAATTTATCCAATAATCTAAAATTTATCCAATAATGTCAAAGTAATTTGCAAAACAAAATAATCAACCAAAAAATGCTATTACTGCAGTCTCTTGGAGTTTAAGAGATAAAGACCCACTAAAGGAAGGGTTCCAAAAGAGCTTAGAGTTGAAAGCCCATTTTTTCCCTGGAAACCCTTGACACACCTGGTAAACCCATAGGATAAGAACAAAGGTTTGAAACCAGGCAGATGGCTGCTACTGGAGGTCACAGAAACCACCACACAGGGCTATAATGACAAAAAGTAGAGATCAAAACATGCAACAGTTTTGAAATTCTAGAACTGCATAAGATAGAAGTATACCACTAGGTTGAAAATTCTCTGAAAAGTAGAGCAGAATTTCCTGGAGTATCAATTTAAAGCCATGTAGGTCCATGGACATTATTTATAAACAACTATAGAGGTTCCAGATGATATTGTTTTCCTCCAGGAAAGGCTTATCCTTTTTTCTGCAATACAGACAGATTGGGGGCTAGGAATAGTGAAGAAACAGAGAGGATAGCCTAAGTCTTAATTAACTGAAGTCAAGCCAGGACCTGGCTCACTCCTGGATGATAGTAAGATGGAGCAGCCCTCAATCTATCTGCATTGCAGAAAAAAGGATAAGCCTTTTATGGAAGAAAACAATACCATCTGGAACCTCTATAATTGTTTATAAATAATGTCTAGTATTTAATTTAAAAATTATGAGGCATGTTTAAAGATAGAATCATATAACTGAAAAAACAAGAGAAAAATAAAGCAGATCTATAGTGATCCTTATGTTGGAGACAGGCCTTTTAAGTAACAATAATTTGTATATGTTCAAGATATCAAAGGAAAAAATAGATTAAAATATGGCATCATAGAAGATTTCTCCAGACTACTAGAATGTGTAATAAAGAATTAAATGCATTTTAAAACTAAAAAATATAGTAACTGAAATCACTAAATCAAGGGATGGCTTCATGTGGAGATTGAACACAGCAAAAAAGAGGTTTAGTGACTAGAAGATAACACAATAGAAAATATACAAAATAAAGTACAAAAAAAAAATGAGGGGAAAACAAAACATTGAAAAATCATAATAGAAATGTTGGGCATGAAGAATATAACACACATCTGATTGGTATCCCATAAAGAAAACTCGGCAAAAGCAACAACTGACAAGATAATGAACAATTTTTGGTTTTACATTTTCTGTGGTTTCATTAAAATCTTCAAAGAAATCAGAAGATAATTTGGCTTTTTGGGTCTCTTGTTTTTTTGAGACAGGGTCTCGCTCTGTCACCCAGGCTGGAGTGCAATGGCACGATCACAGCTCACTGCAGTCTCAAACTCCTGAGCTAAATCAATCCTCCCAGATCAGCCTCCGAGTAGCTGGGACTGCGGGCACGCACCACCACGCCTGGCTACTTTTTTCATTTTTTGCAGAGATGAGGCTTCACCATATTGCCCAGGCTGGTCCTGAACTCCTGATTCAAGTGATCCACCAACCTTGGCCTCCCAAAGTGCTGGGATTAACACATGTGAACCACCATGCCCGGCCCCAGAAGATAATTTGAAAGTCAATTTTTTCTAAATCAAGTACCTAAGAGCTAAGGTGGACATTTCTTGGTGCCATTTTTCTGTTTAGCATTGATATACTATAGAAAGCACGATCCTTGGTAAAATTTAACAGTATACATAGGAGGTCAACAAACCTGGTACCAGTCCCCCTTTTGTTCACCCATAGGATATTTTAGTAGTTCTAACCTCTGAATCAGAAAAATGTCACTTTAGTCAGTTTCATAGAGCAATCAAGAGAACAATATGATAATGCATGTTCTCACTGGTATGGTATACACAAGCTAACTCAGCAGCTCTATTTTAGACTGAGTATAGTGTTGTATTTTGGGGAGATGAGTAAACTTATGATTGATTTATAAGTACTTGCCTGCCTCATCGTGGACCTGTGAGATTCAGTCTTCATATCTGTTTTCACATTCCTGTCTCCACCATGCCCAATCTAATTTCTTGTTTGCGTATTGTGCAGTATGCTCCGTTTTGGTTATTTAACTCCTTAATCCAGTTGTATGTGTCCTTCCATATGTCATTAAAGTAACAGAGTCATTTAGCTTTCCTTTTCAGTGATGTCTGAATCATACTGGCACTGATATTATAATTGTTCTCATTTTCATTATCTAATCTTAGAAAACACGGTCACAATATTTATAATGTTAAAAATTAACACCATCTGTTACAAAGCACAACAGGCAGGCAAAGTCGAAGACTTACTGCTCGCAATTGCAATGTACTTATATTGCACACTTAAATCACATCTTTTGGTGTGATCCAACAATGTATGACCCATTATTGTGGATCCTTGGTGGTTAGAATCAGCACTCATGAGAAAAAAACAGCAACAGCCACTAGGGACAGCAGATAAACTATTCCAAATCATTTTCTAAAACTTGAAAGCTGTTGCTTCCAGCCCTTACTTTTTTAGGCTTATACTTTCCCATGAACTTTGCACATCCATTACTGAGAAGCAAGATTTTTTTTTCCTGGGATGCCAAACTTTCAGTACAAAAATCAGGACTGTCTCAAGCAAACAATGACGGTTGGTCACCCCAAATCCATATTGTGCTTTCTACATCCTTTTCCAAACTTCTCAACTGAACCCATCCTCTCTTGATCCAATTTGTTCCTTTAGACCACAGTGTCAACCCCCCTTGACCTCAGCAATTTACCCTCTTGACCACCCTAACCTCAATCTCTCAACCCATGCAACCACTATCAGCCTCAAACAATCTTATCCTTTCAATCCTGAAGAACAAAACTCAACCTCTTAACTCCTCTCAACATTACCTCATCCTCTCTACCTAACTGGAACTCAACCTCACCCAAACACTGACTCTTGATCACCTGAGTTTGACTTTTCAACATCATCAACCAACCTCGGCCTCTAAATGTCATAAGCCTTGTCTTCTGATCCTTCTCACCTCAACCATGTCCTCTCATCTTCCTCCTACAGACCTTAACCATCCTCCTTCTTTTAACCTCATTCCCTTGACTTCAACTGACCTTGTCCTCACAACTTCAATCAACCTCATTCTCTTAACCTTACCTAATCTTGTTCCGTTTACTTTGACTCCATTTCCTAAACCTCATCTGGTAGCTCAACCTCCCCTGTTCTCCTTAACTGGGTGATATGGTTTGGCTGTGTCTGTACCCAAATCTTATCTTGAATTGTAGTTCCCATGTGTCATGGGAGGGACCTGGTGGGAAGTAATCAAATCATGGACGTGGTTTCCCCCATGCTAGTCTCATGATAGTAAGTTCTCACAAGATCTGACGGTTTTATAAGGGATTTCCCCCTTTGTTAGGCTCTCATTTCTCTCTCCTGCCGCCATGTGAAGAAGGTCATGTTTGCTTCCCCTTCTGCCATGACTAAGTTTCCTGAGGCCTCCCCAGTCTTGTGAAACTGTAAGTCAATTAAACCTCTTTTCTGTATAAATTACCCAGTCTTGAGTAGGTCTTTATTAGCAGTGTGAAAACAGACTAATACACTGGGTTATTGGCACCACCATTTACCTAGTCCTCAAAACCAAAACCTTGAGACATCTTAGATTTATTCATATTTTTGTATTACATACATTAGTCATCAAATACTATCAATTTGCTGCTAAAATTATTGCTGGAACTCATTAATTTCTCTTTATCATCGTTGCAAATATTTTATTTCAGGTTCCATTATTGTTCATCTATGCTACTGCCCCAGAATCCTAACAGATCTCTTTACTTCCAACCTAAACAATATTTTCTCTTCTCTCTTGCTCCCCCAATACCCATCCACCTGTACTCCACTGCCAGAGAGTTAGTTCTAAAATGAAACACTGACCATGTGCCCAATAATCCCTCTACCTTATAGAATATAAGTCATTTCTATCATTTAGCTAATTCCTACTCATTCTTAAAGCCTAATTCAAAGGCTAATGCCTTTAGAAAACTTTCTCTGATTCTCCTTTTCCAAGTTAAAACTATACACCTCTCCTTGAACGTCTAGTAATGGCATTTTACTGGCATTGCTATATTATATGTCTGGGTACATTTTTTTAATTAGCTGTCTTCCAGCCTCAATTATAAACTTTATAAGTACTAGTTTCTGAATACTTTACTTGCAGCATCTAACAAGTATTAACACATGACCACTATTCAATTATTTTTCAAATATATACTTATTTTCTCCCTTCCAAATGTCATATACTACCATAATTTTCATCTTAAAGGGAAAAAGAAAAAAATTCCTTGATAAAATAATTGGGATGCTAACTGAAAGCTTTTAACACAGTTAAATTGAAAGTTGCTAACTGAAAATTAAGTAAAATTCCTCATTAAATAAAATTGTTCTAATCCTTCATAGAAAGTACACATTTTTTTAAATTTAAAATTTACCCTAATACCTACTGTCCTTAAAACTAGCTGATGTTGGTTTCTCTAAAACCATAAAATTAACTGAGGAAACTGAATAGGACTTTATACTCTACTTTTCTATCAATATTACTGAGGTCTGCTAATAAAATACATATATTACTTGAGAAAAAAACTACAAATATCAGATATGTGCCATAAACAAAAGCTATGTACTTCTGAATGAAAAAACCAGAGTTCTTATGTGTCCTGAATTTCACAATTGTGTGATTAGAGGGTGAGAATCCTAGCTCTACCCCTAAGTAGCCATGTGACCTTAGCCAACTTAGATAAGCTTTATTTTTCTTCAGTTTTTTCAAGTAAAGACCCACTATAGTTAATGTATAGACCCCCTCAGTTTCCTCACCTGTAAAATAAAGACGATAACATATAGCCCCAACTTGCAATGTTTCAACGTACGTTTCTTTTACTTTACGATCCATTTAATCAGATATTAAATGCATTTTTTACTTATGATATTTTCAATTTACAATGAGTTTAGCAAGACATAACCCCATTATAAGTCAAGGATCATCTGTGTGTGTGTGAGTGTGTGTGTGTATGAACTAATATAGTCCTACTACAAAGTAGATACTATAAATGTAGCTGTCTTTATTTATACTGAAAAATAGTTTTCCTTTTAGTAACAGTTATTAAAGATACATATCAATATACTTTATACAATTACTGATATTAATATTAAATTAAGAGAAATAAAATAAAGCAAAATTATTGACCTCTGTTTTTTAATCCCTTCTAAATTCTAAAAACAGCTACATCAGATCATATTTTGTGGGAGAATGCTAACAACATTGCAAATTTCCTAATGAAATAAGAAAGATTACTAGACTGGGCACAGTGGCTCACACCTGTAATCCCAACACTTTGGAAGGCCAAGGCGGGTGGATCATTTGAGGTCAGGAGTTCAAGACCAGCCTGGCCAACATAGTGAAACCCCATCTCTACTAAAAATACAAAAATTAGCCGGGTGGTAGTGGCGCACACCTGTAATCTCAGCTACTCGGGAGGCTGAGACAAGAGAATTGCTTGAGCCTGGGAGGCAGAGGTTGCAGTGAACCAGGATAGGCCACTGCACTCCAGTCTGAGCGACAGAGTGAGACCCCGTGGCAAAAGAAAAAAAGAAAGATTACGAAATTAGTTACATTTCATGATTCACTGCCATGTGATCACTAATGTTATTTTAAAGAAAAAAACAAAGATCACATCTTAGTGTTGAAAAGCAAGACAAACTCAGACTACTTAGTATACTGAGTATACAATTCTCCTAAACCAGAACATACATATAGACAGACACATGTCAAACTCTAATTATATTTCTTACTTTACTCTTCACAGCATCATATCGGATTTGAGAAAACTCACGAAGACCAAAAGAACCTCCAACAATCAGCAACTAAAACAAAGAAAGGAAACATTTAAGCAAAACAGAAGACCAGAATTCAAATTCAGCCTATCTATAGATTGCTTTTCTAAACAACAATAGAGGCACATTATACAAAAATTCTATAGATTATTTTTCCTGGTGAGTCACCATTCATCTTTTAGAGTAAATGCAGTATATACTGGCTAGGAAATCATTATAGCACATCATTACCAAATACCAAAATCGTCACCCTATACCTGTATTTGACCTTATGATTTAAATGACATCATAACAAGCATTGTATTATCTGACTCTTACAATAGACCTATTTTTGTTTTTTGCTAAGAAAAAAACAAAAACAAAAACAAATTCAACAAATGAGGAAATAAAAGCACAGCCAGCTAAATGACTTGTCCATTGTTAACTTAAATTTTGCCCAGGGATGTCTCTGTAATTCCATTGCTATGCGATCTTCCTTAGTAAGTAATGAAATTGAAACCTGATCAACTGATCAGACCATGTCCAAATAAGGCAGATGCCTAGCTATAACCAACCAAGCTATTTCTGTACTTCACTTTCCTGTTTTGTCTATACTCATTGCCCATATTGCAGAATGGAGCTCTCTCAACTTCTGGTTCTGAGTGCTGCCTGATTCATGAATTTTCTTTGTTCAAATAAACTCTATAACATTATTGTTTTTTTGTTTAAGGTTTTCCTTCTTTTCGTACTATGATTACACAAGGTAAACCCAGCAGTAAAACTTGCCATTTTTTCCTTCAAGACCAGAATTCTTTTGATTTTATGATTTTTCAAAATAAGGCAATTGGAGTTCTCATTACCTTACCAAGTGATAAAGAAATCTCATGAAAACTTGCTGCAGAATATTCTGTATATCACATTGTATTCCCAGGGACAATATGGCTATACAGGTCACAGGTAAAGAAAGTCTTCAAATTCTTACTATATAGTGAAATTCTGAAACATCATCTTAAGATATACAGAATCACTTTCATGTTTTTGCTGGCACCTATTTGAGGCACAGTATTTTCAAAAGATTTAAACTTCATAATAAAGAATTGTAACCACCGAATGGGTTCACCTTGCGTGCTACCTAGACAGAGCTGATTTATCAAGACAGGGGAATTACAATGGGGAATAACAATGGGGAATTGCAGAGCCAGCTGTGTGGAAACCGGAGTTTTATTATTACTCAAATCAGTCTCCCCGAGCATTCAGGGATCAGAGTTTTTAGATAATTTGGTGGGTAGGGGCTTGGGAAGTGGGGAGTGTGCTGATTGGTCAGTTTGGAGTTGGACTCATAGGGGGCAAAGTGAGCTTTCCTTGCTGTTTTCTGTCACTGGGTGGGATGGCAGAACTGGTTGAGCCCAATTACCCGTCTGGGTAATGTCAGCTGATCCATCCAGTGCAGGGTCTGCAAAATATCTCAAGAACTGATGTTAGGTTTTACAATAGCGATGTTATCCCCAGGAGCAATTTGGGAGGTTCAGGCTCTTGGAGCCAGAGGCTGCATGACCCATAAACTGTAATTTCTAATCTTGTAGCTAATTTGTTGGTCCTGCAAAGGCAGACTGGTCCCCAGGCAAGAAGGGAGTCTTTTTGGGAAAGGGCTATTATCAATTTTGTTTCAGAGTCAAACCATGAACTGAATTCCTTCCCATAGTTCGGCCTATGCCCAGGAATGAACAAGGGCAGCTTACAGGTTAGAAGCAAGATGGAGTCAGTTAGGTCTGATTTCTTTCATTGTCATAATTTCCTCAGTTATAATTTTGCAAAGGCGGTTTCAGTATTGCTACAAAAGTTAATGACCACAAGGAGAAACTCACTCACCATTACTTATTGTGTGTCGCTCTTATAAAACAAGCTTAGAATGGACTTTGGATTTCAGAAGACACCTGTAGATTTCCCTGACATCTCAGAGCAGGGATGAATAGTGTAAGATTCTCCCTGGGACCTGAAAGCTTAAGGAGATGAACAACTCATCCCTTCTCAGGCCCAGTCCCAAGGCACAAGGCTACTTGTACCAGCAGTGTGCACCAGCAAGATAGCAGAAGCAGGAAGAGAGCCGGCCGGAAAATACGTACCCCTGAAGATTGAGAAAGAGGCCATCCAGGTACAACAGAGCAATTATGTCAGACTAGGACACTTCCTGTTTACAGGAGACTATAAAACCTTTGTCCCATCCTCACTTGGGGCTGATGCCATTTTAGGCCTCAGCCCACCTGCACCCACGCGCTCATCAAAACAGCATGTTGCTCCTCACCACCTCATGTTGTCTGTTGGTGCGCTCTCAGGGTTCCAACCGATACAAGAACCGTACATCTGGTGCTGAAACCCGGGAGAGGTTCTGGTCCACGTCCCCTGTGAACCTACCCCTCCACCCCAGACAGCAGGCCACAGCAGCCAGACAAAGGAAGCTCCTCGATCTCCAGTTGCCTCTCTGTGCATGCACATTGGTCACTGATCTTGCTTACTGGTAAGTTTCCTCAGGGGCCCAGTTAGCAGGGAAAATTCACACGGCCTCTCTTAGTTTCTCTGGTCCGAATATCCAGTGTTGGTCCAAGAAGGCGCCGGCGTGTGCCAGGCACTCGCTGATCATCTGGTCTTAGGGGGATGCCTCTAAGCCATTTGATCGTGTTCCAGGAACGAAAAAGGCAGCGGTGACAGTTGCTCCTTTTATCATCTCCCTCCAGGATGGTCTCCTTTTTCCCTGTTCTCCTGAGCCTACCCTCTGTTATGGGAAACTCCGGTCCTCCATTCCAAACAACAGCCCTCTAGGCTGCTTCATAAAAAACCTGCAAACCTTAGGCCTCAGGCAAGATATTCGCTCTAAGTACCTGTCTTTTTTGCAATACAGCCTGGCCACAGTACAAATTAAATAATGGGTCCAAATGGCCTGCAAATAGAACATTCAACTTTACAATTTTAACTGACTTAAGCAATTATTGCCGACGACTGGAAAAATGGGAAGAAATTCCTTATGTCCAGGCCTTTTTGCACTCAGTTCACAACCCAACCTCTGCAATTCTTGCTTACCTGTTCAAATCCTTCCCCTCCATTCTCACCGCCCTGATCGCCTTTCTCCTCCCGACCCTACCTCATTTTTCTCGTTCGATCCAACTGACTGCTATCCACCCCTCCCAACCCCTACCTTTTCCTCTCAACCATCTTTTTTAACCCCCCAAGCCTCCTCGTTGTCTTCTCAGCTGCCATCTTCCCAGCTGCCATCTTCCCAGTCAGCTGTATCCACTTCTTTTCCTACACCATCCCCTCCTCGGGACAATTCTAGTATTGCCTGTACCCATTCTCCTCCCCCACTGCCCTCTCCTAAAGCTTGTAAACTCATCCCGCCACCTTACGCCCCTGCCTATCCTCCACTGCCTGTTAACCCTCCTTCCCCCTTCAAACCCTCAGAACGAACCATTATCTTAAACCTTCGGTTCATCTCCCAATCCACCCCCGATATTCGGTGCAAGCTTCAGAAGCTTGATGATGGCCCTCAAACCTCACAAGACCGTCTTAATTTAGCCTTCATAGTCTTTAACAATCGTGATAGGGAAAGTAAAAGGCAAAAACAGGCGGAGTTTCAAATGCTTGCCTCCGCCATCAGGGGCCCTGCAGGCCCACGGGTCCGCAGCTCCACACGGAAGCCTCCTAGCAACCTACCTCCACTTGGCACCTTTTCAAGTGCGGCAATGAAGGCCACTGGTCCAGACAATGCCCAAATCCAGGTAAGCCCACCAGGCCATGCCCCCTCTGCAGAGGACCCCAATGGAAATTGGACTGTGAGCGGCCCCTGCAAGGGCGGCCCCATCACTTCCTAAGCCGGCCAAAACCTCCTACTTGGATCTCATTGGCCTTGCCGCTGAAGATTGATGGTGCCCTGGAATGGATGCCCCGGCAACTACCATCGCTTCATCCGAGCCAAGGGTAACCCTGATGGTGGCAGGTAGGCCAGTATTTTTTTTTTAATTAATACCGGGCAAACTACTCTGCTTTACCTAATTTTTCAGGACACACCCAGTCCTCCCTTTTCTCCGTTGTGGGAATTGACAGACAAGACTCCAAACCCTGAGCCACCCCTCCACTTTTCTGCTCCCTGCACACCTTTTCCTTCAGTCACCCTTTCTTAGTCCTGCCCTCATACCAGAGACATCCTTTCAAAACTCCACACTACTCTCCACTTGCACATTCCCCATAGTACCCAACGCATCAACCCAGACCCCTCGGGGCATCTAACTTTCTTCTACTCCTCCAACCTGCCACCTTAAAACATGCAACTTTACCTTATCCCCCATCCGTAGTTAACCCCGCTGTTTAGAATATTTCCACACCTTCAGTCGCAAAACACCACACCCCCGTCCGCATTACCCTTAAAGAGTCCACCCAGTTCCTATCACAGAAGCAGTATCCCATCCCCCAAGCAGCTCTCATAGGCCTAAAGCCTATCATTTCTCGCCGCCTCACCAGTCACCTACTCCACCCAAGAAACTCTCCTTTTAACACACCAGTTCTACCTGTTTAAAAGCCAGATGGAACTTATCACTTAGTCCAGGACCTCAGGCTCATTAACCAAGCTGTACTCCCAGTATGTCCAGTAGTTCCTAACCCATATACTTTACTTTCTGCAATTCCCTCCAATACCACCCATTTTCCTGTTCTATACCTAAAGGATGCTTTTTTCCACAATTCCTTTACACCCTGATTCCCAAAACCTCTTTGCCTTTACATGGGAAAACCCCGACACCCACCTTTCACATCAGCTCACCTGGTGCGTACTACCTCAAGGTTTCAGAGACAGCCCCCATCTTTTTGGACAGGCCCTTGCTCATGACCTCTGTACCTTATCCCTAAAACCGTCCACTCTCCTTCAATGTGTTAATGATCTGCTCCTGTGTAGCCCCTCTCAAAGAGACTGCAACGCCCATGCTATCTCTCTCTTTTAAACTTCTTGGCAGAACGGAGGTATCGGGTCTCCCCTAAGAAAGCACAAATATGAGCCCCCTTAGTCACTTATCTAGGCCTGGCTCTTACCCCATGAACCCGAGGGCTCACAACCGACCACATATCCCTCCTCCAGTCTCTCCCACCTCTGCAAACTAAGCAAGAAATTCTCTTTCCTAGGACTAGTGGGATATGTTAGGCTCTGGGTTCCCTCCTTTGCTCTACTTGCCAAACCATTATACCAAGACACTAAAGGCCCTCTCCATGAGCCTTCAAACCCTGCATAGCCTATTACCCAACCTTTCCATCTACTCCAGAAGACTCTCATCTCAGCCCCCATCCTCACTCTCCCAGACCTCACCAAACCTTTCTCCCTCTATACCAACGAACGTGTAGAGTTGCACTAGGTGTTCTAACCCAGTCTAAGAGACCCACCCTCCAGGTTATCGCCTACCTCTCCAAACAGCTTGAAGCCACAGTTCTCAGATGGTCTGCCTGCCTCCAAGCACTGGAGGCAGCTGCTGTCTTCATCCTTGAAAGCCTAAAACTATCTCTCCATGCCAACCTAACAGTTTATTCAACCCATAATATCAAAGACATGCTAGCTCACCACAGTGTACTAAGTCTCATCTCTGCCCCACGGCTCCTCCAACTGTATGCTCTGTTCATAGAAACCCCCCAAATCACCGTGCTAACCAGCTCTCATGTAAACCCTGCCATGCTCTTTCCTGAAGCTACAACCGCCCAATACCCTACACACTTCTGTGTGAACACTGTTCAAACCTTTCTTACACCTTTTCCAAACCTAACAGCCCAACCCCTTCCAGATGCCTCCTTTACTTGGTTTGTAGATGGCAGCTCCTTCCTATGTCAAGGATGCCGGCATGCTGGCTATGATATAGTGTCACCCCCTCACACACACTACTGAAGCCAATCCGCTCCCCCAGGCACCACCTCCCAAAAAGCTGAATGCACTGCTCTCACTCAAGATCTCACTCTAGTAACCAGACAACAAATTAACATATATTCAGATTCTCATTATGCGTTCCATATAGTACACTCACACTCGTCTATGTGGAAAGAACAAGGTTTTTTAACTGCAAAAAACACTCCTGTCATAAATGGCTCTCTTACCAGCAAGCTCCTTCAAGCTGCCAGACTCCCGCAGAAAGCTGCCTTCATTCATTGCAGGGGCCACCAAACCCGGGACAATCCTATATCGGCTGGAAATGCGCTAGCAGATCAGGTAGCCAAACAAGTAGCCCTGCAACCCATGCAAGGCCAGTTTCTGTCCCTGTCCTTGTTCTCTCCTCTTTACTCCTCAGAAGAAAAGGAGGACTTCTGAGCCCAAAACCTTCAAAAGCAAGGACCATGGTATGTCAAGGAAAGGCACTTCATTCTTCCTCACTCTCAAAGCCTTCCTCATCTCCAAAGCCTCCCCAACACTTTCCATGTTGGTTACAAATTCTCTTGCAACTTCTCCGCCCTGTTCTCACTTGTCCTCACCTTTCCAGCTATGTTCAAGATATTACCCAGTCCTGCTCTATCTGCCACTCAGTGTCACCCCAGGGCTCCCTCCGGCCACCGCCTTTTCCTACCCACCAAGCCCGGGGCCAGATACCCAGGCACGATTGGCAAGTAAACTTCACTCACATGCCGCCCAATAAACAGCTCCGCTATCTTCTAGTCTTGGTCTGTACCTTCTCCAGGTAAGCAGAAGTGTTCCCAACAACTTCAGAAGGTGCAAATGTCACACAAACTCTCATCATGCATATAATTCCCCATTTCGGCCTCCCAACATCCATCCAGTCCGATACAGGCCCACCTTAATCAGCCAAATTATCCAAGGCGTCTCTACGTCCTTAAGAATAAAGTAGGTTCTCCACACACCCTACAGGCCTCAATCTTCAGGCAAAGTTGAAAAAATGAACTCTGTCCTTAAAGCCCAACTCACCAAGCTGGCTCTAAAAACCCAGCAGTTGTGGACAAAAAAAATCTCCCTTTTGCCCTCATAAGGCTCTGCGCAACACCAAAAGCACCCTCTTTTTATAGTCCCTTTGCAATCATGTATGGCTGAACTTTTGTCTTGGGGCCTCCACCCTTACCAGACTCTGAGCCCTTCAGGAATTACCTTCCCTCCTTAATCCAGACAGGGTCTTTCATTTGTGAAGCAGCAAATGAGGCCATGCCTCTCCCTGTCCACACCGCCTTGTCCTCTCAACATAACTGTCTTGCAGGCACAGATGTGTTTCCAGACAATCCAGATGATGCTCCTGATACAACGACATGGTGGACACCAGCCCGTCTCTCAAGAATACCCAAAAAATTAAGGTTTTCTTTTTCCAAGGTGCCCACGCCACCCCTATGTCACGCCTGAAGTAGTTATTGAGAAAGTCATCCCTTTTCCCTTTTCTATAACCAAATAGACAGGAATGTAAGATTCTCCCCGGGGCCTGAAAGCTTAAGGAGATGAAAGAAAAACTCTTCCCTTCTCAGGCCCAGTCCCAAGGCTCAAGGCTACTTGCGCCAGCAGGGTGCGCCAGGAAGATAGCAGAAGCAGGAAGAGAGCCGGCCGGAAGACACACCCCTGAAGACCCAGAAAGAGGCCAATCCAGTTACAACTTAGCAATTACGTCAGACTAGGACACTTCCTGTTTACAGGAGACTGTAAAACTTTCGTCCCGTCCTCACTTGGGGTTGACGCCATTTTAGGCCTCAGCCCGCCTGCACCCAGGCGCTCATTAAAACAGCATGTTGCTCCATACCGCCTCAGTGTTGTACATTGGCGCGCTCTCGGGGTTCAAACCAATACAAGAACCTTACAAATAGTCAGCTGGGTCACCTCTCACCTCATATTGAAGCAATACAGCAGTGACAGCTAACTAAGAGTTATCTTCTCCTATGCAAAGAAAACATATTTACAATACTGTCATTGCATTTATAAATGTATTCTCTAAAAACAACAACACACAAATGATTTTGTCCAACTTACACCTAACTATACGTGTTTAGTAGAATAACAATTTTAATGTTTAATATTTTACTTTCTGTTCTCCTATCATTTTCCCCTAATAAGAAATATAATTTGAGTACAATTAAAAATGAACAAACAATAGTTCATCCAATTCATTTGGTTAATTCATCTTTTTGTGCTTTTAGGTCAATTTGCTATCTTCAGTGCTGCAATGTATTACAAAGGTTTATGTTGTGGAACTTTGTTAATACCAAATGCTGTATCTCAAAGCAGCTAACTGAAAACTTCTATAGACTGGACTTCAAATATTTTTGCATCAGCCTAACTGTGGAATTTACACAACTCAGAAAAAGCAGACATACCTGACATTTTGCTGATTTAACAAAAGAAGAAAATAATATTTTCAAAAGCTTAGCCCTTCTACTAAATGACTGAAGCCATTCTTCAAGGGGGGATGAAAGGGGTAGGGAGCCCTCATTAGGGTAGTATTTTGCCTGAACTCAAAGGGTACAATTTCTATCTTATTTATGTCTTTCCCCCCAATATAACCACTGTTTCCAACTTATTGGTTGTCCTTCAAAAAATCATCAATCCATGTATAAGCACAGACATTTTAAACATACCACACTCTCCCTTTAATACAAACGGAGACATAATATGCATCGTGCTTACCATCTTGCACACTGCATTAATATTTTATTAATAAATACACACAAAAGTGTATATAAAGCATTAATTTAGAGATAATAATTGTAACATAAACTACAATGCATTAACTACCCAGTTTAACAAATAGAATACTGCCAACACATATACCCCTTGCAGATAAAAGGGTAACCTTCCTCTCTTTACCGTTAACACAAAAGCTAGATTTTATTGCATTCACTTCTTGATTTTCTTCTTTACTTTACCATCTATATATAATAACTAAATTCTATAATTAAGCCTTTTCTGTTTTTGAATTTTATTAAAACTATTCTTTGGTGTAACTTTTTTTAGTGAGAAATTATGTATTTTAGATTAAAGTATATTGTATGCAGCTATAGTTAATTTTCTTTGCTATATGGTATTCCATTATAAAAACAGAACACAGTTTATTTACTCATTCTCTTGTTTGATAGTTGAATGATTTCTGGAATAATGTCACAGCTTCAAGGTTTTGTTGGTATTCTTAATTTCAAAATTATAAAAGTTTATGTTTTATAGTGTTTTATACCTTTTAATATTTAATCATTTAATTGGTAATACAAGTATATTTATATAAAAAGGAAGGTAGGGATCAAACTTTATTTTTTTGCAAATGGCTAGAACTTTCAGCTTCAGAATGAGGGATTAAAGCTAATTAGATTTTTGGATGACATGATAAAGCAGCAATGACAATTTGGGGATCTTTTAAGATTACTGCATACTGGGAAGTGTGGTAAATTTCATGTGATTTCTTTTTTCTTTTGAAAAACCTGGCAATATTTATTTAAGAAGTGAAGATGTCATTTATTTGACCCAGGAATTGATACTTACGTGTAGTATATAATACTGGTCTGTACTTTTTTATTTATTTATTTATTTTTTGAGACCAAGTCTCCCTCTGTTGCCTGGGCTAGAGTGCAGAGGAGCGATCTCGGCTCACTGCAACCTCCGCTTCCCAGGTTCAAGCAATTCTCCTGCCTCAGCCTCCCGAGTAGCTGGGATTACAAGCATCCACTGCCATACCCAGCTAATTTTTGTATTTTCACTAGATACGGGGTTTCACCATGTTGCCCAGGCTGGTCTTGAACTCCTGGGCTCAAGTGATCCACCCGCCTCAGCCTCCCAAAGTGCTGGGATTACAGGCATGAGCCACCACACCCAGTGGAGATCTTTTTATATTTGTATGTGTGTCATACATATGATATTTTTATAACTACATGTTATATAATTATATATATGTAAACATAATGCATATTACATACATTATTTATGTGCACTACTCACTCATACATTTTCTAACACAAATATATTTCTTTTTTTTTCTTTTTTTTTTTTTTTTTTGAGACAGAGTCTCGCTCTGTCACTCAGGCTGGAGTGCAGTGGCGCGATCTCGGCTCACTGCAACCTCTGCCTCCCGGGTTCAAGAGATCCTCCTGCCTCAGCCTCCCAACTACATTTGTTTTTGTACACATATACTGGAGAAAAAATATCCAGTAATGGAATTTCTGGGTCAGATAAATGACATCTTCACTTCTTAAGTAAATACTGCCACTTTTTTCTAAAGAAAAAAAGAAATCTCATGAAATTTACCACACTTCTCAGTATGTGGTAACCTTAAAAGATCCCCAAGTTGTCATTGCTACTTTATCATGTCATCCAAAAATCTAATTAGTTTCATGCCTGTAATCCCAGCACTTTGGGAGGCCAAGGCGGGAGAATCACGAGGTCAGGAGTTCAAGACCAGCCTGGCCAATACGGTGAAACCCCATCTCTCCTAAAAATACATAAAGTAGCCGGGTGTGGTGGCACGCACCTGTAGTCCCAGCTGTTCGGGAGGCTGAGGCAGGAGAATCGCTTGAATCTGGGAGGTGGAGGTTGCAGTGAGCCAAGACTGCGCCACTGTACTCCAGCCTGGTGACAGAGTGAGACTCTGTCAAAAAAAAAAAAAGAAAGAAAAAGAAAAAAAATCTAATTAGCTTTAATCCATCATTCTGAAGCTGAAAGATGTAGCCATTTGGAAAAAAATAAAGTTTGATCCCTACCTTTCTTTTAATTTAATTTATATATAATTTTATATATATATACATACACATATATATACACACACATATACACACATATATATACACACATATATAAATATATATATATACATACACACACACATAGAGATAGATAGATAGATAGATATACACATATTTTTTTGTGTGTGGCAGAGTCTTGCATTGTCACCCAGGCTGGAGTGCAGTGGTGTGACCTCAGCTCACTGCAACCTCCACCTCCCAGGCTCAAGTAATTCTCCCGTCTCAGTCTCCTGAGTAGCTGGGACCACAGGCGCCTGCCACCACACTCGACTAATTTTTTATATTTTCAGTAGAGACAGGGTTTCACCATATTGGCCAGGATGGTCTCAAACTCCTGACCTTGTGATCCACCTGCCTCAGCCTCCCAAAGTGCTGGGATTACAGGCGTGAGCCACTGCGCCCGGCCCCTACCTTCCTTTTTTTTATAAATATATTTATATACCAATTAAAGAATTAAATATTAAAAGGTATAAAACATAAATGTTTATAATTTTGAAGTTGAGAATACCAACAAAACCTTGAGGTTATGAATTTCATTTTTTTTCCCATCAGAAGATTTTATCATCAGAGGCTATAAATTTCAAAACCAAGTATATGTGACCACATAAAAATTTAAAACTTCTGGGTGGGTATGGTAGCTTATCCCTGTAATCCCAACTACGCCGGAGGCTGAGGTGGGAGAATCACTTGAGGCCAGGAGTTTAAGACCAGCCTGGGCAACACAGCAAGACCTCCTCTCTTAAAAAAACAACAATAATAATAATAAATAAAACTTCTATGCTGACAAATAAATGAAATAAAAACAACATAAAATCAAAAGAGAACAAATCAGAAAAAATATCTGTTATAGATAAGCAGCTAATACCTGCAATGTCAAAATGTAAGATTTGTATACGCAAAATAACTTTTGTTTCAGTTTCAATGAAAAGATACAGGCAGGCCATGCTGAAAAGTCCAGCCATGTGACTAGAGGGCTGGGGCTTTGAGCTATGTGATATCAACCCAACCTCCAAACCTCAAGGGAGAAGAGGAGAGCTGGAGACAGTTCAGTCACATGGCCAATGGTTCAATCACCCATGCCTATATAATGAAACCCCAGTAAAAATTCTGGACAGTGAAACTTGGTTGAACTCCCTGGTTGGTAAACACATCAATGTGCAAGGAGGGTGACATGCCCTGATCCCATGGGGACAGAACACAGAAGCTCTGCATGCAGGACCCTCCTGGACCTCGACATATGAGTCTCTTTTTTTGGCTGTTCCTAATTTATATCCTTTATAATAACACTGTAATCATAAGTATAGTATTCTCCTGAGTTCTATGAGTAGTTCTACTAAATTATTGAACCTGAGGGGGTGGCTTAAACCTGGGGTTATGCCTGGTGTAGGAAGTTAGGGGAGTTTTGTGCAGGACTATGCATAGAGTGTGTGTGTGCGTGTGTGTGTGTGTGTGTGTGGTGTTTGAATTGCACTGCAACACTTACTGCCTGTTACCATAGAATCCACACTCCTAACTAAATATCTTCATTTATCTCCAATCTTCTCTTATCTACTGAAGGACACTGATTCATCAATTCTCTCCTTTCCTGTATCATCAAAATCTTGCTCACCACTGCAGGATCCAGCATAAAAATGCTATTATTTCTCCTATCTTATTAACAAACTTTCCTGGACACCACTTTCCCACCAGATACCAACCTCTTTCTTTGTTCCTATATGCAGAAAAATTTCTCAAATGAGTTGCCTATACTAGCTGCTCTTCCTACTCTCTCTTAGATCCATTCCAACCATCAATGACATCCACATTACTAAATCTGGTGATTTACTTATTTTCATCTGATTTCATGAATAAAATTTCATACAATTGATCACACTCTCCTCCTCTTCCCTCATATCTGGTTTTTCTTTTGCCACAGAGTCACTCTTTCTTAGTCTCCTTGATTGTTTCCTCCTGTATACCTCAACTCTCCAATGTTGGCATACCTCAGGGCACAATGTTTTCTCTTCTTCTCTATTCACTTATTTTGTAATCTTAATCAATCTTATGGCTTTAAAAGCATATGTTGATTACAACATTCCATACAGACATGATCAAGCACGAATCCCAGTACCACCGGGTGAACAAAGCAGACCAGATTAGTACTGCAAAATCTGGAACCTAAGTTCCAGGAAAGGGAGCCCAAAATATTATAGTAGGCTACTGCCTACAAGTTAAACATGACGACATCCTGCTAAACTAGAAGACTTAAATAGGATATCATTTCCTAATATTTAAAATGTTCAAGATATAATACAAATTCCATTGTCATGACAAGAACCAGGAAAATAACTTTACTCAAGTTTGGATATTTGACCCTCCAAACCTCCTGTTGAAATCTGACCCCCAATGTTGGAGGGAAGGCCTAGTGGGAGGTGTTTGGGTCATGGGGACAGATCCCTCACGAAAGGCTTGAGGCTGTCCTTGTGGTAATGAGTGAGTTCTCACTCTATTAGTTCCCTTGAGAGCTGGTTGTCAAAAAGAGCCTGCCACCTCCCTCCCCTCTCTCTTGGCATGTGATCTCTGCACATGCTGGCTCCCTTTTGCCTTCTGCCACAAGTGGAAGCAGCTTGAGGCCCGCACCAGAAGCAGATGCTGTGCCGTGCTTCACAGTATGTACAGCCTGCAGAACCATGAGCCAAAAGAAAATTCTTTCCTTTATAAATTACCCAGCCTCTAGTATTCCTTTATAGCAACAGTGGTCCCCAAACTTTCTGGCACCAGGGACCAGTTTCATGGCAGACCATTTTTCCACAGATGGTGGCGGGGGTGGGGGGTGGGATGGCAGTTTGGGGATGAAACTGTTCCACTTTAGATCATCAGACATTAGATCTCATAAGGAGCATGCAACCTAGATCCCTCACATGTGCAGTTCACAATAGGACTCGTGCTCCTATGAGAATCTAATGCCACCTCTGATCTGACAGGAGGTGGAGCTCAGGCAATAATGCCCACTCACCTACTGCTCACCTCCTACTGTGCAGCCCAGTTCCTAACAGGCCACAAACCAGTACCAGTCCGTGGCCCAGGGGTTGAGGACCCCTGCTTTCTAGCAACACAAATGGACTAAGACAAACTTGAATTTTAAAAAGGCTATGGAGAGATGCTAACACAGAGATAAATCAGAGATTAGAATTATCTGACAAAGATGACGAAGACCTCAAAGGAAACATCATAAAAATACTTCAAACAACAACAGATTTTCTTGAAACAAATGGAAAATTAGAAAATCTCGCCAAAGACATAGAAGATATAAAGAAGAACCAAAGGGTGATATCAGTGACATGGTGGAGTATCTCCAAAAATCCTTTCCTCCACAAAAACGAGAATATTTGTAAAAAATTGTCAAATAAACTTTTTTAGAACTCTGAAAATTAAGCAAAAACTTGCAACAATGTGCACAGTATTTACCTAAGAAAAATGCCTGAATCTCAGGAAGAACAGCTTGGTGGCATTTTTAATTTGTCATATTCTCACCCCTCCACCCAAGCTCCGTAACAACCATGAAAACCAACAGCCTGCAAACATGATGTAAAGCCTGGCACCAAGTGAAGAGGGTAGAGAGGTTGGAGCTCTTTAAAACACCATTCTGTGAGAAATGTCATCATTTCACCAGTCTGGTACTTCCTGGAAGATGCTATTCACAAAGCTCTCTGTAGTTTACCTGACATGGAGCTCAACTAGTATGAACAGACTTCTCCTAGGAAGCGTTTGTCAAAAAAAAAAAAAAAAAAAAAAAAAAAAAAAAATTCAGAGGTAATTGTTTAACATTATGACTGTCTGATGTGGTAGATAATAGGAATAAGGTGTCCTTAGAGGACTCTGAAAAGCTCAAATATATTCCTGAGAATTTAGAAAGTCATGCAAATAACTAGAACTGTGTACATGCCCAGAGCAATGTATATGCCCAAGAAAGACCTGAGAAGGCCCTAAATTCTCAACTTATGACTAATTTGAAGCTCTGAGCAAGTAAGAAGTGAAGGCTATACATGGAGCTGTAAATTGCATGGCTGAATGTTGAAAGCATGCCCAAAAAAGCATGCAGAGCCTCTCGACAAAGACTGGCAGATTTGTTGGTTTTGGGTTTTAAAGAAACCTCTGTCCAATAAAAGGAAACATAGTCCAATTAAAAAATGGGCAAAGGATTTGAACAGACATTTCTCCAAAAAGATATTCAAATGACCAATAAACATTTGAAAAGATGCTCAACATAATAAGTCGTTAGGGAAATGAAAATCAAAACCACAATGAGGTATCACTTCACACCTACTAGAAAGGGTAATAATTCAAAAGATGGACAATAACAAGTGTTGGCAAGGATGTGGAGAAATTGAAAATCATATCTTGCTGGTGGGAATGTAAAATGATGCAGCCACTTTGGAAAACATCTGGCACATCCTAAAAAGTTGAAGAGTTACCATATGACCTAGCAATTCCACGTCTAGGTATATTCCCTACCTGAGAGAAATGAAAACATACTTCCACACAAAGCGTGTACATAAATGTTCATAGCAGCATTATTCATAATAGTCAAAAATTGAAACAACCCAAATGTTCATCAATTGATAAAATATATCCAAACAATGGAATTATATCCATCAAAAGGAATGAAGTATTGATATATGTTACAATGTGAATGAACCTTAAAAACATTCTAAGTGGAAGAATCCAGTCACAAAAAACCCACGTTGTATTAGTGTGTTAATATGAAATGTGCAGAATAAGCAAATTTACGGGTAGAAGTAGATTAGTGGTTTACCAGGCCAGCATTAAGAGGCAGGAAGAAATGGGAAGTGACTACTATTAGTTATGATGCTTTTTTGGGGGCAATGAAAATGTTCTAAAATTGTGGTGATGGCTCCATAACTAAGAATATACTAATATACGAATATATTAGTATACTAATATCGAATTTGCTAAAAACAACAATTTTTTTTTTTTTTTTTTTTTTTGGAGAGACAGAGGTCTTGCTGGTTTGGAACTCCTGACCTAAAGCGATCCTCCTGTCTTGGCTTCCCCTAACACTGGGATTACAGGTGTGAGCCATCGTGCTTGGCCCAGATACTTCAAATGGGTGAATCTTTTGGAGATTCCTAAAATCCACATTTGATGAATGTGGATTTTTCAAAACTGTGTAAAATATCCATTACCTTTCTAAGATCACTTCTTTCCTTTAGTCTGCTTAAATGGAAAAGCTGGTAATTTCATCTGCGCCAACATTCATACAAAATAAAAATATAGTCTGTATTTAAAAGCAGCTTTTGTTCATATGCTTTAATTATTTCATTTACTAACACATCAAGGCTTGCTGAAGCAAAATAACTGGCCCGTAATCAAAAAGCAAATAAGAGTCATCTGGATTTCAACTCTGGTTGTCTTAAGCCAGCCTCAGCCTGCATTTCATGACATCCTTAGGGAACTCAGTGTGGATATGGATGAAACCATATAAACACGGAAGCTGTTTTCAACGTGCTTTAGAAATTATAACACAGCAATCATTCTGGCTACAATGTGGCAGGCACCGTACTCAACACTTTATTCACAAGGTGTTATTAGTTCATCACAACTCTAAGTATTAAGCTAATTCACAAACTAGAAAGATGAAACAGAAAGATACCAGGAATTCGTGCAGTTAAATGGAATACATCTAGTCCCAATGATCCACAGTATCGTCAAAACATAGCTAAGTTGGGGGCGAGGAAGCAAGCTTAGTAATCATCCAAACTTGGCTTAAAGTGTGGTTCTGACTGAATTCTCTGAGCTTCAATTTACTTAACTGTGAATCAAGGGTAGTAACAATGACCGCGTTCGACGATGGGAAAGACGCCACGCTCACAAGCAGACAGATCCTAGTACACCTGAAATCCAACCGGGAGTGGGGGACAGCGGCGGGGAAGTGGGGGTGTGGAAAAGACTGGTGGAAGAGCTTTTAGGAAAGCTCTCACCCCGTCGCTAGCTCCTTCCTAGCCCGAGTGCCAGCCCTTAACTTCACATTTTACAGATTCCCTCCCAGGTCTTGATCCTGCCAAGGAGGAGGGTCCCACCCCTTGCGGAAGATCCTCCTCACTCCACTCACCAACATGGGGACTCCATAGCCGAGAGTCTTGTTCTTGCGAAAAGCACGCATCACCGCGGGTGCAAACATGAGTGAACTCTTCCATCGGCTCAGAACTCCAAGCGGGCCTAGCGCAGACTCCCAAATCTCAGCAGCTCACGCTCTCACCAAGACGAGTACGTCCTTAACTCACTTCCTTTTCCTTGGTTATTTGGTGCTCGGTCCTTAGTGAATGGTTTCCGCTAGGCAAAAGCAATCGAGCCATCGTAACATACTTGTGCGTCCGCCCAGAAATGTGGGCGTCAGCGTTTTTGGTTCCGTAACGTCGGCGTGCAATTGGGATTTAGAGATTTGAATCGGTTTACGATCACCACCAAATTGATCTGGAAACCAGTACTTCCCACGTTCTGGGTCCTAACTAACGTCTGCTTAGAACACTCCCTTAGGCACATAGCCACTCGATAAAATCAGCTAAGGAAAAAAGTATTTTGAGGCCGGGCGCGGTGGCCTGGGTGGGTGGCCTGTAATCCCAGCACTTTGGGAGGCCGAGGCCGGTAGATCACCTGAGGTCAGGAGTTCTAGATCAGCCTGGTCAACATGGTAAAACCCCGTCTCTATTAAAAAAAAAAAATACAAAAATTAGCCGGGCGTGGTGGCAGGCGCCTGTAATCCCAGCTACTGGGGGGCCGAGGCAGGAGAATCGCTTGAACCCGGGAGGCGGAGGTTGCAATGAGCAGAGATCGCGCCATCGCACTCCAGCCTGGGGAACAAGAGCGAGACTTCGTCTCAAAAAGAAAAAAGAAAAAAAAGTATTTTGAAGCTGGTACTCCAGTCTTTATGGCTATTTGTGGGATGAGGAATTTGCCAGTTTAATGGAGACTTTTAAAAATAAATCGCTTTTGAAAGATTAGGTTGAAATGTAATCAGTGTAGTGTCTCATCAGTCATTACTGAACTTTTAATGCTAATGATTTTACTGTGAGATAACCTGTAATCTTTAGTCATTTATGAATGTCTATTTACCAATGATTCAGCAACCATACAGGCCACCTTTCAGCGTGTCTTTGAAAGGGTTCTAGGAACACAGATAAAAATATATGATCCTTACCTTAAAGACACTGGCGATTTCATGGGCACAGAAACAAACATGTGTGAAGTACTGGGATAGCTTAGGAAGCCGATCCCCCACGTGTCCCATTTACCAGAGTGAATCAGAGTGCAGGTGATGCGGAATATTATCTTCCATGCTATTCCTGAAATATTTCCATCTGTCCCTGCCTCTCTGTTACCACTGAAATGTTCCTTTTTTTAATTCCTTATCATCTTTTCACCTATTAAAGTAGCCTCTTAAGTGGTCTCCAGAAGAGAAGCTCCAGATCTACTGCAGGCTACTCCAGTGAAACTTATCCTTTTGGCTAAGATCAAGTGTAGTATCTGTTCTTAACAGTTTAATATTTGACACATTCTCTATCCAAGGAAAATATGTTAAATGGGTTTTTGAAGCAAGGAGATGGAATAGGAGTTTGCTCCACCACTCTACACATCAACCTGTATTTCAATACCTCCAGAAACCCAGGAACGGTGCATCTCTCCCATCTTATTTACTTCCTTTTGATATTTCAAAATTCATGCAGACCAGGCATGGTGGCTCATGCCTGTAATACCTGCAGTTTGGGAGGCTGAGGCAGGAGGATCATTTGAGCCCAGGAGTTCGAGACCAGCCTGAGCAACAAAGCAAGACCCCATCTTTACAAATAATAATAATAATAATAAATTAGCCAGGCATGGTGGGGTCTCAGCTACTTGGGAAGCTGAGGTGGGAAGATCACTTGAGCCCAGGAGGTCCAGGCTACAGTGAGCCGTGATCATGCCACTGCACTGCAGCCTGGGTGACACAGCTAGACCCTGTTTCAAAAATAAATAAATAAATCTCACGTGGCATCCAGGTTAGTTAAGCGTATCACATCTCCTACTTTCCCTAAGATCCTAGAAGCCAAAGGCGCTGCTCTAAAACTCTAGCGTTTTCCTACATCTTCACTACATAAAACATCAGCCTACTGGATACTACTCCATCAAAACCCGGCACCTAAGTAGTAGCTAATAATGGGTTAAATCGTATACATATATTCAAAATAATGCTAGAGTCGATAATCTTACACTTTTCAGATAAGGCATCTATCCAATTTAAGGCACTCTATGTCTTTAGTATCTTGTTTGTTCAATCACTCAAATAAGCATTTATTGAGAACCTTGAAATGGCCCTGAAGGAGTAACTGTGAACAGTAGGAATTACAGGTATGCCGGCAGATTGTCAGGGGACAAAATCTGTGACACTGAGGAATGTAAGCACCTATCAAATCATACTACATAGGTGGTAAATTTTACCAGCTATGCATAGCGCCCTTCTTAAGCATCACTACTGTATACTTCAGTTTTTCCATCTGTTAAATCGGAATGAGTGATATTTGTCATCAGTTTACGATTCTCACAAAAAGGGAACACAAAATTTCTTACCAGTATGGAATCTGTTGCCTTCCCAGAAATATGACTCAAATTCCATGTGTTTCCATTGTTAATAAACAGTTAAAATGCTGACTCAGCTATCTTAACTGTAAGAAGTTACAAAAAATGTATATTCAGGAAATGGGGCATCTCCACCATCTATGCCAGTCCCTGAGGACTGGTATGTACTTGATATCCAGGCAGGTTATATTATCCTCTAGTATCTGCTCTACCAGCATTTAACTCATGCAAGTACATGGGAGCGTTGTTATAAAACAAAAACAAAAACACCAGTCTTCTTGAGAGCTTTAGTCCTGAAGTTAGGTTTTAGAATTATGGCCAGAACTGGCCAGCCACAGTGGCTCATACCTGTAATCCCAGCACTTTGGGAGGCCGAGGCGGGCAGATCACCTGAGGTCAGGAGTTTGAGACCAGCCTGGCCAACATGGTGAAACCCTGTCTCTACTAAAACTACAAAAATTAGCCGGGCATGAAGGCGCATGACTGTAATCCCAGCTACTCGGGAGGCTGAGGCAGGAGAATCACTTGAACTCGGGAGGTGGAGGCTGCAATGAGCCGAGATGGTGCCACTGCACTCCAGCCTGGGCAACAGAGCAGAATTATGGCCAGAATTCATGGCTATGGTAATCGAAAGATTAGTTACTTCATGAATCTTTGTTTACTTTGATAATGCCATTGAATCTACTAATTGTTTTTTTTTTTTGAGACAGGTTCTGCTATATTGTTCAGGCTGGTCTTGAACTCCTGGGCTCAAACAATCCTCCTGCCTTGGCCTCCTAAGTAGCTGGGACTACAGGTGTGTGCTACCATGCTTGGCTTACCATCTAATTTGATTCACTCAAAAACCTTATGATAGGGGCAGAACATGATGCCAGACTCATCTTATAGGTTAACAGACTAAGGCTCAGAAAAGTTAAGAGGCAAACACAAGGTCTCACTTTGGAAGGGGTACAAATATCCCAAACAGAACTAAATTTCCTGTAGAATTGGACAATACTGACTATCTCCTTGAAATTCTCTCCTCCTGTGGCTTTTATGGAAGTTTCACTGCCATGGCTCCTCTCCAATGGTGAGACTTCTTTTTGTTGTCTTCAGACTTACAAACCTTAAACTGGAGTCCTTAGTCCCATTTTTTCCCTCTGTCTCAGTTACTCTCAAACTTTAGTGTGCACCAGAATCCCTGGGAGAGCATTAAAACAGACTGCTGGGCCCCATCACCAGAGTTTCAGATTTAGTAGATCAGGGATGGGGCCTGAAAATCTGCCCTTCTAACAAGCTTCTGGGTGATGCTGCTGGTCTGAGGACCACACTCTGACAACCACTGCTCCATCCTCTTTCCCTAGGTAAACTCCACTTTCACATTGGCTTCAAATTTTATCACAGCATGGAAGACTTCTGGTACACTTCCAGGAGCCTGAACGATTTTCTAACACCTCAAGGTCAACATGCCACCAAGGTTTATTTTAATCCTTTTCTCCATTCAATCTAATTTCTATGGCTAGAACTAGAGTAGCTAAGAGTTGGTCTAGTTCAGTCCAACTTGAAACCAGTTAAAATTGTCCTTGATATTGTTCAGCCAGAAAATCAACTGTTTCTTCTTTAATGCACTTTCTCTTATGATAGTGATCATGAACATTCCAAGTTTAGAATTATTGCTGTATTTGCCTTATTACTTTTTATGGAGTATAAGATATGGGGTAAACAGGACCATGCCTAATACATTTCTGTTTTCCATGACTTCCTTCATAGTACAAAACCACAATGCATAATTTTCTGGAAAAACAAATGAAATGACAGGAGCAGCCAGGAGTGGTAGCTCACATCTGTAATCCCAGAACTTTGAGAGGCCAAGGCGGGAGGATCACTTGAACCCAGGAGTTTGAGACCAGCCTGAGCATCAGAGCAAGACCCTATCTTAAAAAAATAATAATAATAAATAAAACAAACCAACAAACAAAAACAAGGAAATGGCAGGATCTTCCCATATCATGCTATACAGTGAAGGATGAAGAATACATGGCTCACTGCAGCCTCAACTTCCCAGGCTCAAGTGATCCTCCCACCTCAGCCTCCCGAGTAGCTGGGACAACAGGTCCATGTCAGCACACCTGGCGTTTTTTGTTTTTTTTTTTTCATTTTTTGTAGAGACGAGGTCTCACTATGTTGCCCAGGCTGGTCTCAAATTCCTGGGCGCAAGCAGTCCTCCCACCTTGGCCTCCCAAAGTGCTGGGATTTCAGGCATGAGCCACCATGCCCGGCCAGTAATTCTCAAACCAAACAAAAATCTGCTTTGTAACACTTTGGAGAGAATCAAAGGTAACTATTCCATACAAAAGTGCTAGAGGTCTCTTCTATACAGACAGACAAAAGAAACCGAAAGGAATTCAAAGACAACGGCAATGTCCTAAAGTACACTATTACTTGGATTACAAATTTCATCAGGTAGAGCAAAGCAGGAACTCTAGCCTGCTGGTTGTCACAGGGTTAAGCCCTATCTGAAAGCTTTCTGTATAAATATTGTTAATTAACTAGGGTTTCCTTTTTGGGTAGGTGGATGGGTGCTTTTGTAATATAAGTCAGTGGTGAAACAGGATTTTATCTATTGAACTTTATGTTAAAAAAAACTTTACAGAAACACTTATATTTAGAAATATGAAGACAAATGTTTGAATTGAGAGCAAGTGAAGTGCACTTTTATCTCAAGATAAACTTCCTGGAAAGGAAACCATTAAAAAATGTCCTGTCTGTATGTGTGTTTTGTGTTGTTTTAAATGCTTGAATAACATCTATTGTCTACCACTGGTTTTAAAAAAAAAAAAGATTAGTCAAATACCATTGTACACACAAAGTTTCCTATAAAACAAAACACAATGCACATCCAATAGAATTGGAACTTGATGCCTCAAAAATGAATCTATTTCCTAAAATAATCACTTCCAAATCAAACAACATTTTGAATAACCCCCAAACTGAGGAGGATATCAAAATAGAACTTATGTTACATGGCAGTTAATAAAAAGGAAAAAAACTTCATATGAAGTCCTATGATTGCACATAACTGAAAACAAATATCCAACTTATGAAAAGGAAAAGTACAACAAAAAAAAGCCCAAAACCAAAAACACAAACAAAGGAAAGCATAACGAGGGAATTAACCAAAATAAAAGCTAAACTAAAAAAATAGGAAACAAGCAAAAATACAAGAATTGATTAGTAAAACCATCCCAGGTGATATCAGCAGAACAAATAGTCAATTGACAGAATCTTTTAAAAAATTATTAATATGCTTTAAGCCACTTAAGTTTTGCAGTGGTTTGTTACATAATTGGTAACTGACACACCTTTGCCTATCAAGAAAGAACATGGCCATTCTATACATACTGTAGACTACCAATTTGATTTCAGGCCTGAACTGCTTAACATGGGTGACGGAGCAATGATGACCAATGTAAACTGCCTTTTCTCTTCATATCAAAGTCAGCTGTATGCAAACTAACTTAGAATAAAGGTCAACAATATTCAGTTCTGACAAGTCCTTTTTCATGCTGTGGCACAAACCCACTTCTGCCTTCTATGTATCTTATAAGGCTTTGGGGGATGAAGGGGATACAAGTAAGATGGTAAATGTTGGCAACTGCTTGCAAACATTGCGAATAAATACACAATGATACTGCTACTGCTATTATAGAACATTTAACCTAGTGCAGTCAATTTCCTGTTATCCATAATGGAAGGATATGATAGCATGGTTGAATCAAATTGAGTATAGTAAACCTTAATTTTCTAGAATAGTGGAAGGGCAGTGGACTCATTGGCTTGAAGTAAATTCCCAGGTCTGGAACTGACTAGTTATGTATCTTGAGCAAGTTATTAACTTCTTTAAGCATCAAGTTACCTCCCCTATAAAAATGGAATATTGACACTGCCTTGCACAGATATGAGAATTTGGCATTAAGTTATACAAAAGGGCAGCCTAATGCAGTGCCTGGTACCATGGGAAGTAGAGACAGTAAGGTGTTATAGTTATGAATGCAGGTTTTGAAGCCAGATTGCCTGGGTTTAAATCACAGCTTTGGCACTTAGTAGCTGTATAACTTGGGCAAGTTACTTAACCTCTCTATGCCTTTTATCTATAAAATGAAGATAACAACAGCAGTTATCTTAAGAGTTGTTTTGAGGCTTAAATAAATATTATACATGCAAAGGCCTTAGAACAAAAGCTGGAATATTGATAAGAGCTCCATAATTGTTAACAGGATATCAATGTCCTGTTCCTTATCTCCTATGTCAAAGCCTCAAACTGATCATTTAGATTTCTTCCTCTTTCCACAATTCTGTCAGAGGTGTTACCCTAAGAATATCTAGTACATAGTAAGCACTTATCAGATATTTGCTGAATGAAGGAAAAAACCCTCATCTGGAAGAAAAAAAAATGAGATATTTAATCAACGGTCTTCAAAATAAGGTGAAAAAAGATTGTAAAGATTCAATGACAAAGTTTTATTAAATACCAATACTGGCTAGGCACAATTAGACACATTATTATCTCATTTGCTGTATCTGGTATCAAACAACAAAGCCTGAAAGATTACCATAGATTTTGATGGCCTCATTAACATAATTAATCCGTAGTGACATTCCCTGGATAATAAATACAGTTTTATGTCCGTGTGTCTTCTGTGTCTTCCAAGTTGCTACAGGGCTCTATTTGATCTGAGAAACTGACTGCTGTTTACATCCAGGTATGCAATGTGACATTAGAATTGAAGCAGAAAGGAAGCAAAACAAAACAGGGTTCATGAGGAAAATAATCTTCTAAGAACTAACATGGCCTGGAGGTAAAATGCAAATATATCCGGTAATAAGAAGCCCAGATTACTGCAGATAAAAGATTAAAATAGGATTCAATTATTCATCTCCATTTGCAAATCTACAAACTAGGAGGAAGGACTAACCCTTTTCCTGGGATTAGTAACTAAATTTAATGATTACAGCAAATATAAAGTTCTTTTGTAAATTATTGTTGGTTAAGGATTGACTTGCATTGACAACACACTTTAGCTCTCGCCCCTTTCATTCTCCCCCTGCAAGAACAAAGGCAAAATGAACAGTGAGGAAAACCTGGAAACAGGACCGAGTGTTTGCTATCACTTGATTCCTTTGAAGGAGCAATGCTTTCTCATAATATAGGTTTTATAGTATCATCAAGTACATCAGTTAAGCAAATCAAGTGCTTTGTGTTCTGTATATAAATTACATAATACAAGAGTCTGTGGCAGTTAAGAATCTGGTTCTGCACTTTGGGAGGCCGAGATGGGTGGATCACGAGGTCAGGAATTCAAGACCAGCCTGGCCAAGATGCTGAAACCCCGTGTCTACTAAAAATACAAAAATTAGCCAGGCGTTGTGGCACACACCTGTAATCCCAACTACTGGGGAGGCTGAGGCAGGAGAATCGCTTGAACCCGGGCGGCAGAGATTGCAGTGAGCTGAGATCGTGCCACTGCACTCCAGCCTAGGCGACAGAGCAAGACTCCGTCTCAAAAAAAAAAAAAAAAAAAAAAAAAAGAAAAGAAAAGAATCTGGTTCTGATCAGAATCCTTAAAATACTGTCTTCTTTTTTATCACAATTGCCCTTTTGGATGTGAGTGCTGGTCTCAAAAAGATTTGCAGTTAAAAGAGGAACAGCAAAAAAGACTTACACCAAAATAGCAACCAACTCTAAAACTATTACAGGTGAGAGGTAGACAGCTTCATAACTCAATCTTCTACTACCAGGTGATGTTAAAAAAATACTTTAACATCAAAATCACCTACAAATATTCCTCCACTTTCATATGCTGAGCAATTTCAGCTTAGAGTGACTAAGTGTTATTTATCTCTCTATCTTCGGCACCTAGCACATAGTAGGCAGTCATTAGTTATTTGCTGAATGAAGGAAAAAAACCTTCATCTGACCAACGATAAATTTCACTAAAATTGACTATAATAAAATCTGTATGGGCTCCACATGAAAACTACATGAACTTCACTTCCCCACATACCTGACAGCCTATACACTTCCTTATGTTTCATTTCTTTAAATATACTTTAAAAATTGCTTATTTACACAATAAAAACAATGTCCACCATAAAAAAAAAAGTCTCTAGAACTATTGGAATTAGTCTCAGAATAACTCATCTGATTGGATTTGATATGAGATCATTCTCAGATTGTTCTGTGGAATCTCCCAATTCCAATAATGATGCTTGCAATATCCTTTAGCTGTCTATCAGTTCTGGTCTTTATTCAGGCCCAAAGAGAGAAGAAAGAAGTAGACTAAGATAAAATGGGTAGTCTGTGTATTCATGTAGTGAATATATTCAAGACATAAATATGAGACAGAAAGGTCACTTCTGCAACAAACTAAGTCTGATCAGAGTTAAGTTAGCTTCCCTCTCTGAGCCTTTATTTTTCTCATCTCTAAGACAGATTCATCCTAGAAGCTCTCTGGTCCTTTTTAGCTTCAATGTTCTATGATTGGTTCTCATTTAATTGATGCACCAACTGAAACACTCACTAATCATACATTTTGCTGGAGGTTGATCAATCCTTAGCAAATCAGGAAGAAATGAATGTTCCACTTACTTCGTGCAGAAGCTCAGGAAGCTGGGCTCTAAAGGCCCAAGTTTTTGTTGTTGTTGTTGTTGTTGTTGTTTTGCCTGAAGCAATGTATGTAATTTAATAATTTAAATAGTGTTTAATTAAATAGTGTCTTGTTTAAATGCTATATAACATTTTCAACTGCGGCTGCACACCAGAATCACTCAATGAACTTTATTTTACTGCTGCTTGAGTCCCACCCTCAGAGGTTCCTTTTAATTGATCTGTGTGCAGCCTGGGCATGGGGACGTTTATAAGCTCTCCAGATGATTCTAACCTGAGCAAAGGGAATGATGACTGGCATAGAGCAATGAGTCTCAAACTTTAGCATGAATCAGTCACCTGGAAGGATTACAAAAACACAGATTGTGAGATGCCACGCTCAGAGTTTTTGATTCACTAGGTCTGGAACTTCTTTTTTCTCTTCTGGGAACTTGCTTTTTGTTTTTTGTTTGTTTGTTTTTTTGTTTTTGAGACAAGGTCTCACTCCGTTGCTCAGGCTAGAATGAAGTGGAGCAATCACGGCTCACTGCACCTCAGTCTCCTGGGCTCAAGCAATCCTCCCGTGTAGCTGGGCCTACAGGAATGCACCACTAATTTGTTTGACTTTTAGTAAAGACAGGGTT